>NC_000001.11:239365939-239517454 GCF_000001405.40 Homo sapiens
CTAAGCTATCTGTTCATATTTAAAGCTTGCTTTTAAGCTCTGTGTGAATGGCAGATTGTTCTGACTGGTAGACTTCACTCTTTTAAGCATGATCCAAG
Source organism: Homo sapiens (assembly GCF_000001405.40). NCBI lineage: Eukaryota > Metazoa > Chordata > Mammalia > Primates > Hominidae > Homo > Homo sapiens. Next base: position 239,366,038 of record NC_000001.11, read on the forward strand.
CTTACTCTCTGGGATGGTTCAGTTTCTCTATCTAAGGATTCCTCAAATTCTTGATCCAGTTTACATGCCTGACTTCTGGGGAGGGGGAGGTGGTCCTGAACATCTAGTTGCTCTTAATGTAAACTTCCCAATTACCCCAAGCTTACGTCCCATCTCCAAACACACTTCTTCCTATAGTCCTGGTTCCTCACCTTCACAAGTCAAAAGAATTTCTATAAGAGAACAGATTAAAGTGTCCTTACATGAATTCTAAAGAACAGCTTTCTTCTCACTGATAACTCCCTTTATAGGTACATATGTGTGTATGTGTGTGTGTGTGCATGTGTGTGTGTATTTGAAGTTTCTCTAACTTATTAAGTAATTTATCATTCATACATCTTTGCACCTTTGTATATTTAGATTCAGAATTATAGATAACTCCTAATTTAATAACAGATGAAATCAGTGTTTCTGCTTCCTGGTGGGGGCAGAAACTTTGCTAAATTGTCTTCTTATACCAGAAATCCATTAAATTCAATTTTAACAATGACATTCTTTTTAACAAGCAAGATTATAGAAAATATTGCCCTTCAGATATTCCAAATTAATAACAATACTGTATTCAACATGTTTTATATTGCCATATCCATGCTGGGTATTAAATTTTATTCTGAATATTAATCAAAGTAGTAGAGAATGAATATCATCTTGTTTGAATTTGCGTATTTAAGATCTAGAAATGGTATTGTCTCCTGGAAAAAAAGGTGCCTAAAAATTTAGAACAGAGCTGAAAACCGCTAATTCTGCTTTCCTAGTGAAACAGGGAAGACTTCATGAAAGACCTGATATTTCACCTATATCTTCAAAGATTTGTCTACTTTAAAAAAAGACATTTAAAGAGGGAATTATATATCACAAGAGAATGGAAGCAAAAAAGGCGACAAGCATGTTCATAGAATAGTGAGAGATTTGAGATATGGGAGAACAAAAAAAGATAACATATGAGAAAGAATTTTGAGAAAAGTCAAAAGTTTACATGAATTCAAAGACATTATTCAAAGGCATTATTTTTATTGATATCGGTTGCATTTTCTTCCTGGAGTTTTACATCTTCTCAATGAATAATATATATACCTAATGGTCTAGTTTACAAAGAACCCACAAATCTTCTTCAAGAGAGCCCTAGAAGAGATTCAATTCCAATTTCATAAGAATTATTACTTGATAAAGAACTCATAAAACTGTCATAGTTGAGAATTAGGCTATAGCCAATGGTTGCTATTCATTGTGCAAATTCCCCTAAGCCCAGCTGTTTTCAGCACACGACTCGTGGGCAATTCCACGTGCATAGCCAGTGCCCATACCAGGAATGCCTGTCTGCTGTTCAAGGCCTTCTCCCTTGCCACAGGAGACCATGGAGCTGCAAGCTAGCTCAACACACAAAGGCAGGGGAATTAATACCCCAGGATAAATCCTTCACAAGTGAGAGTCAGGAGTCTTGAGGAAAGCCCCAGCAATCCTGTCCTCTAAGGAGACAATGCTAAGGACTGTTCTGTACAGTTCCTCAGAGGCTCCATGGGGACTGAGCCTCTACTTCCTCACAGAAGCAATTGCATCATGGAGCACATAGCTGACTCCTCTTCCTTCTTTTTCTCATTTTCCTACCTCTCTCACTTCTGCTTCCTAAAATGTCCCCCTGAATAAACGATCTATACCCATTTCTTCTTCTTGGGCACTGGCTTTAGGAAAATCAAAATAGGATGGATACTTAACAAATGATGTGCCTCTACTATTTATCTGTTTCTATCAACCCAGTATAATTTACAGGCATCCAGCTTTTCCATTTCCTTATTAGAAAAAATGAAAAATAGTTTTCAGTTATGGCTGGTGTTTTTTAACTTGCTGGCACTGATTCTGTGTATTTTGGATGAAAACTTTATCCATGATACATAAAGGGAGGACACAAAACTGAGAACCAGAAAATCCATATTTTAGTCCCAGGTTTTGTACTACCTAGAAGTGAGACTATATAGAAATCATTTTCTCTCTCTAAAACCTCAGCTTCTTGCTTTATTAAAATGAAGGTGTTGATGTAAAAGATTATCCCAAGGCTTTGATTTCATTATTCCATGAAATTATAAAGAGGCAGGCCTGCTTTGGACAAAGCTGTCAGTTGGACATGTTTCCCGGTGGTCAACAGGACACAGTTGGGAGTCTTATGGGTACCTGCTGCCTTGCTTCCCCATGCTTGGAGCAATTTCTGACCAGTACTCAATCCAAATCTATCCCTTGCTTGGATAGTTCCTAATGCCTCAATAGCCCACAGCTTTAAATATACACACATTTAATATATGTGAATAACAAGTTCTATCTGCTTCTAAAGAATATTACGAAGTAAACCATGTTAACAGGAAATTGACTAAGAAAGACAAGCCCACAAATTCCATGCTAGCCCTGCGTTCTTCCCACCTTCTTATACAACCCTCTTAGGTAACACACATGAATGTAAGCGACCTTCTCTACACCAGTCACCTGACTTGTATTGTTCCTCAAGGGTGAGGAAGTGTCTAGACGAAAGGGAGGGGAGACCCAGTGGTAGGTGGAACTTTGTGCTCCACCTTTCACATAACAGGTTGCCAATTCAGCTGTACTGAGGACAGGCAATGGGAGAAGGCATTAAAAGGGAAAACTGAAATAGTTCCTTTGTTCTGACTGTAGAAATGCTGAAAGGAAATTCCTGTTTGCGGCAGGTGATTAAACACATTTTATTAGAGGCTGTTACACAGAGAGAGTTACTCACGCTGCATTCTTGCAATAAAATGGTTCATTTTCTCAGTTTTCTCATAATTTACTTTTCAAATAGTACTAACTAGATTTATCAACGATTTGATAACTTCCAGACTGCCTGTCAGAGTCCATTTAGGACACTTTAACCTGTTCTTTTATGGCAATAAAGCTCAAACTTATCCACCAAATTCCTCCTAAGATAAAGGAGTATGAAATTGTATTTAAGGTATTGTGGTGGACGGGTAGCTGACTATGTAGCTCAAACTGCCTGAGGACAAGCATGAGATTTCTCCAAAGCTTTCTCCTTCATCTTAGAAGCGCTCATGAAATTGCTTTCTACTCAAAAATAATAAAATTCAACTTACATTAATTTTAAAATTTTATATGAAATTATTTGCTAATTTCATCAAAAAGTTTAAGGAAGAATAGCATGATTTCGATTTTATGCTATATTCTTGTGCTTTTCATCTATTTGCAGGGTAAAAGAGAAATCTCTCTTTTCCCTCCACACCTCTGAACTCTTCCTATATCATGTATTCAACCTGGAAGGTAGACTTCCCCTGTTAATTATGAAGCATAATTTCTGTGCATCTGAATTCCTATACCATGTCTAAATGTGAAATTCAGTGTCAATTTCATTATCCTTGCCAGTGAAACATAAGTATCAAAATTGTCTATCAAGTGAAACTGGAAAAAAGGGGATATTATGGCATTTGTATCTTCAGACTTCATTATTCCTAATGTTTCCCATTATAGCCTGTACCAGCTGGACAAACCTAGAAATTATTTTTTGCTGCTGGCATCTTATCTTTGATGATATGTAGGGTAGGGTTCAAAGCGAACACCACACACAACAGAAACATTGATTTTGTTCCCTGTATTCCTTTACTTCCTTTTACCCCACAGACTCCTTTAACTTGCATTTCCTCCCTTTTATTTGACAAACCCACCACTGCCCTCCTCAGAGCACATTTTTGTAACTTTGTTTCTATCCCACATTTTCCTGTATGGCAGATACCATTGTTTTGTAATATGATAAAAACATAAAAAGTTTTTCCTCCTCATTTAACCACTCTCTATGAGTTTTGTATTTCAGAAATCATTTCTTTTCCTTGCTTAATCAATTACTACTCTGCTTTCCATAAATTCAGTAAGCTTGATAGCAAAAATCTGCCAAATGCTTTGACTATCACAGAAAGAAACCCCTATATAAATGTCTGCTATGATTTCTATTACAACATGAAGACACTTTAGGGTATGTTTTATTGGTCCATTAATAAATGACTGGAGAGGTAAAGATATCTGGCTAGAAGCCCCATTTTTTTACAAGCACAAAAGATGTGGCTTAATGAAGCAATTAAAAATTCTTTCATATCCCAGGGCTGTAATAATATTGGGAAAAAGTAAATGAACTACTAAAATGAAGAGACAACTGTAAATATAGAAAAAGACCAAGAAGCTTTAACTTCCATAAAAATAATGAGAAACGTAGGACAGAATTTCAAACAGTTGTCATTTTACAGAGCACCAGAACTGATAAATTTAAATATTTTCTCATCAAAATAGATATCTTGTTTTACAGAGGTGAAGGAAATATAAAACGGAGAAATTGTCCACAAAAGAGTCAGACAATAGGACAGTATTATGTAACATCAGGGAATAACATTCAAAATAATTTTAATTGTAAGGAATATTAGGAATTATCTAATTATGAAATACTGATGTGATAAGACTATTTTGAAGATGTGAATGGCCTTACAAGTTTGTGAAATAAAGTGCAAATGCTGAGAGTACCATCAACGCAGGGCACAGTCTTGGTTATCTTAGTATCCCTGGCACAATGCACAGATGTACTGTGTTGTACTTGTTCAATCATTCGTAATAAACTAACAGTGATGTACCAATAATTGGCAATAACAGTAATAAAAATAATTGGCCAGGTGCGGTGGCTCACACCACTTATCCCAGAACTTTGGGAGTCTCAGGCAGGTGGATCACCTGAGGTCAGGAGTTCAAGACCAGCCTGGCAAACATGGCCAAACCCCATCTCTACGAAAAATAAAAATAAAAATAAAAAAATACAACAATTAGCCGTGCATAGTGGCACATGCCTGTAGTCCCAGCTACTTGGGAGGCTGAGGTGGGAGAATCACTTGAACCCAGGAGACAGAGGTTGCAGTGAGCCAAGATCATGCCACTGCATTCCAGCCTGGGCGACAGACTAAGACCCTTGTCTCATTAAATAAATAAATAAATAAATAAATAAATAAATAAATAAAATGGAAAGAATGGGTTTATCAGGAAACTCCTTGACAAAGCCAAGTTGAAGGATAAAGTTCAGTGGTAGATTTCACTACGCTGATAACAACAAAATATACCTCTAAAACTCTTACCTTCTTTGCATTTCCACCTTTCCTGCCCAGTGTGTGTCTCATGCTTATACCACACAGCCCAGAGCATTCAATATCATGGTCTAACTTCTTATCTCCTAGATCCTGGGAGCTTAGGGTAGCTACAAATAAAAATCTTATGGTGGTACAACTTAGCTGAGACCTCAGAACAATCTGTAAAAATGTAACTTCACTTTTTTCAAATTCTTTCATCTCTCATGATTTTCCTAAAGCTCCCTATTCTTTACTGTTCTCAGTGCACTCACTATACAAACAAATCCTCTACACTATCAGTGAATATTTGTCCCCGACTTTGTATGAGTTCTGCTTAGCCATTAGGCATGACCTCTTCCCACATTCACCCTGCCAAAGACAAATTGTGTATATAAGCATGTAAAGCTAAACCTTGGCATAACATTAGTCCTAGAAAATCTTTGTATTCAAAAGAAACCCAATTTTTACCGCAAAAGCATTGAAGAAGAATGAGACTCAATACTGAATTTTATAGAGGAAATATTAACAGAATTCAACAAATAGCAAGGCTTCCAAAAACTTATCCAAATTCCCACTTATCATTACGTCTACTGTCCCCAAACTGCTTTTGTCTGGTTCTCTAAAAAAATTTTAGTCTGTAGTTTCCTCCTGTGGACGCATTAAGACTATCTGTCTTAGAGGAGCACCATGCCTTAAACTATGTAACTCAATTTCTCTGGCAGAGAGCTCTTCCAACCTGCAACAAAGTTTCTCCCAGGTGAGCCAGGGAGTAAACAAAGGCAGTACTTGAATGGAATGAGAATAGCGAGATGTTATGTCGCTTACTTCGTGTGAGTTCTGCTCGGCCATTTATGTTTCTATATCCACGCTTATCTTTGCCTTCTCTCCTCTGGTTGTGAAGGACAATTATGCGAGCTCCATTTAACCAATTGCACTGTCTATTCCTTTGACCACATGCCCTTCTTCTCTAAGGAATTCTCTATCAGGACTTCTTTATTCTACCCCAGAATATTCTGGATACAGTGATAGAAGGGAGAAATCCTGAGAGAGATATATATATATGTCATATATATGTATGTGACAAATAGGCACATGAAAATATGCTCAACATCAATAGTTATTACAAAATGCAAATTAAAACCACCATCAAATTTTATTGCACACTCATTAGAGTGGCTAAAACTAAAATGACTGACCACAATAAGTATTGGGGAAGATGTGGAGGAACTAGAACTCTTATCTACTGCTGGTGGGAATATAAAGTGGAACATTTCGGCAGCTTCTTAAAAAGTTTAACATACACTTTTTGTATGATCAAGTCATTCTGTACTTAGGTAATTAGACCAGATAAATAAATGTGTATGTATCCATAAGAAGATTCATACAGGAGCATTCATAGAGTCTTTACATATGATAGTCCAAACTCAAATGTTCATCAACAGGTAATCAGATAAACAAACTATGCTACTCAGTACTACAAAAAGAAATTAACCATAAGCACATGCTATAGTATTTGTAGATAAATCCCCAAATACCATGCTGAATAAAAGAAACCATACCAAAAAGGACTGCATACTGTGTAATTCCATTCATATAAATTTTCTAGAAATGAAAACTAGTCTCTCGTGATAGAAAACAAGTCAGTTGTTGCCTGGGGGTATCAGACAAGAAGAAGAAGGGAAGAATTACAAAAGGCCAGGAGGAAATTTTTTTTAATTTTTATTTTAAGTTCAGGGGTACAGGTACAGGTTTGTTATACAGGTGAAGTTGTGTCATGGGGGTTTGTGGTACAGATTATTTTATCACCCAGGTTTTAAGTCTAATACTCATTAGTTATTTTCCCTAATCCTCTCCTTCCTCCCACCCTTTACCCCAGAGTAGGCCCCAGTGTGTGTTGTTCCACTCTATGTATCCATGTTCACATAATTTAGCTCCCACTTGTAAGTAAGAATATGTGGTATTTGGTTTTCTGTTGCAGCAGTAGTTTGCTAATGATAATGGCCTCCAGCTCCATCCATGTTCCTTCAAAGAACAGGATGTCATTATTTTTTATGGCTGCATAGTATTCCATGGTGTATATGAACCACATTTTCTTAATCCAGTCTATTATTAATGGACATTTGGGTTGGTTCTAAGTCTTTGGTATTGTGAATAGTGCTGCAATAAACATACGTGTGCATATGTCTTTATGAAAAAACAATTTATATTCCTTTGGGTCATGGGATTGCTGGGTCAAATGATATTTCTGTTTTTAGGTCTTTGAGGAATTGCCACACTGTCTCCCACAATGGTTGAACTAATTTACATTCCACCAACAGTGTATAAGCTTTCCTTTTTTTCCACAACCTTTCCCACATCTGTTATTTTTTGACTTTTAAATAATAGCCATTCTGACTGGTGTGAGATGGTAACTTATTGTGGTTTTGGTTTGCATTTCTCTAATGATCAGTGATGAACTTTATTTTATTTTATTTTCTTATACTTTTTTTTCATTCTCAGCAAACTAACACAAGAACAGAAAACCAAACACTGCATGTTCTCACTCATAAGTGGGAGTTGAACAATGAGAACACACGGACACAGAGAGGGGAACATCACACACTAGGGCCTGCCGGGAGGTGGGGGGCTAGGGGAGGGATAGCATTAGGAGAAATGCTTAATGTAGATGATGAGTTGATGGGTGCAGCAAACCACCATGGCACATTTATACCTATGTAACAAACCTGCACGTTCTGCACATGTACCCCAGAACTTGAAGTATAATTTAAAAACAAATCAGAAATAAAATACATTCTGATAATTAGGGAGAGACTGACAATATAATGAGATTGTGGTAGGGTGTACCATGCAAAGGCAACTGAGCTGGTTATAGAATTTTAGGATGGATACAGGAAATAAAAGAGAAAGAGAGACACAGAGAGAGACTGAGAAATAAACAGTTAGTCAATGGTAAAAACGTAATGCCTAAATCTCCTTTAGAACAACTTAAAAGTATATCAAACTTGAAGTTAAAGAAAAAACTTAAGTCAATAAAAAAGAATGATGTTAGGTGACTTCTAATGCCAACAGAGTTTGTGAATCTCTAAGCAATATGCTTAAACTGAGCTCAGGGAGTCCAGAGATAAGGGACTGATTTCATGTGTTTGGGTACTTTGCTTTATCTTTGGTTTAAAGGAGTATAATTTTGGCATGCATTTAAAGTAGACAAAATATATGTAGCCATGTAAGCTTACAAAATAATACATTTGTTAAAAAGCATGCCATGCCCTTTGCTTGGCAAAAGGCACGAATACAGGCCTAAAAATCAGCTAATAATGACTTAAAATTCAGGTCATTAATATCAGTAAAAACTCCACAACTCCGGGAGTCTTGAAAATTCTTTTACTCTTTCTCAATCAATTTGTATTCTTACTTGTTTACTATGACTATTTCAATGACTTCAATGTTTTATTATAGGATGAGGTTTTGACTAAGCTTTGAGAGTATGTAAATGAATAAAACTTATTTCATAACTACATTTTAGAAGATAAAAAAGAACTATTAGTACCTACTATTCCCATATGTTTTTCAGCTAAATTTAACCCAGTCTTAGATGAGGCTTACTTAGGACAGTATAGCTATGTGTGTATAGCAATGTAATCAGTTACAGAGATAAATCTATTTTACAAATAGAGTGATACTAGCAGTTATGTGGACTGCAGCAGAATTACAAAAGGATGAGTAAAATTATGTGTCAGAGGCAGCCGGGCACAGTGGCTCCCGCCTGTAATCCAAGCACTTTGGGAGGCCAAGGTGGGCAGATCACCTGAGATCGGGAGTTTGAGACCAGCCTGACCAACAGGGAGAAATCCTGTCTCTACTGAAAATACAAAATTAGCCAGGTGTGGTGGTGCAGACCTGTAATCCCAGCTACTCGGGAGGCTGAACCCAAGGGAGAATCACTTGAACCCGGGAGGTGGAGGTTGCAGTGAGCTGAGATTGTGCCATTGCACTCCAGCCTGGGCAACAAGAGCAAAACTCCATCTCAAAAAAAAAAAAAATGTGTCAGAGGCTATTTTATAGCTAGAAGGTAATGTTTCCAAATATGTTATACATTAATCCTAACAGCAATGAGAAAGAAAAAATATAGCAGAGACAGTGTTGGTTTGCTTTTTTTTAAGAGAGAGGGGGGTATCACTATGTTGTCCAGGCTGGACTCAAACTCTCGAACTCAAGCAATCCTCCCACCTCTGCCTCCATAGTGACTGAGACTACAGGCATGCACCACCACTCCAGGACTGCTAATGTTTTCATCCAATATCCATTTTCTCTGTCTTTCATACTTATAAAGCTTCGATTCTATTCTGAGCAAAGGGCTACATTTCATAGCCTCCTTTGCAAATAGATTTGTCAATGTGATGTAAGGGGGCATCTTTTAACGTTGACATGAACCATCCCAGGCTAGAGATAAGCCCTTTTACCTTTCCTTCTTACCATGTCCTTCTTTTTCTTGCCTCAAACACAGACATGATTACAGGAACTATGGCAGGCATTACAGGCCCTAAGGAGAACTTGAAACCTACAGGATTACAGATGCCAAAGCAGAAAGCTAGAAGGAACATGCCTTCCTGATGACTGTGGTGTTAGTATACTTCTAGATCTTCTTTTATGAGTAGGATATAAAGCCTCTAACTTATTTGAGATTAATATTGAGGCTTTGTTTTATATATGGTAAATTTAATCCCGAAAGCACACATACAGGAATAGAATAGTAAGCTCAGGTTAAGAGTCAAGAAATGGGCCTAACAAGAGTAGGAGGTAAGACATTAGCATTGTCACTTACAAGTATGGTCACAAAGGCATTTTCAGCCTTTCTTATGCAATTATAACCTTTAATTTAACATGGTCTTGGACTTGTTGAATATATGGCCTTCAAACATATAATTCTACTATTGACTTCCTTAATGGAATCAAATCAATTATTCAAAGGAGAACAACTAAAATTTTTTTTTGTAAAAAATCAAAGATTGGACTGCTCTCAATGCAACCTGGATTCAGGGACTAAGATCTCAGAGAAGAGAAAAGCACATTCAGGTAAGATTGACATGGTGCACTCTACCTTTCCCTTTGAGACATTTGTTTCCCTGAGCCGAGTGGATTAATATCAAGTAGAATGCAAGGAGTAAAAGATTAGGTTACAGAGGTCACTTTTCAGAAATCTTTTTGATGGAAAAACCAGAACTGAGTTTCAGGGCAGGCCAAGTAAGAGGGTCCCTTGCAACCACCCCAGAGATTCAGTTGGAGCCTCTTAGGAATAAAAACCTGGAAACAGTACAACTCTCCCCAAGACTGAAAAAACTGAGTTCAAAATCAACTCAAGCCAGACTAGATTAAGGTAATCTACATCAAGGTGAACTCAATGCCTTTTTGAGAAATTAAAGAAGATTTAAATTAACAAAGGGATAAACTATATTCATGGATTGCAAGAATCAATAATGTGAAGATATTTGTTATTCCCAAACTGATCTGTAGACTGAATGTGATCCCAATCAACATCTCAGTGGATTTTTTGTGAAAAGCAACAACTACTTGCAAAATTCATATGGAAATGTTAAAAATTAAGAATAGGCAAGATGACCTAGACAAAGAATAAATCTGGAGTAGTAGAGATATGGTAATGAGAAAAGCAATTACATACCTGCACCTACAGGGCTACTGTCTATGGGAACACCAGAATTTGAGCATAAGGTTTTTTTTCGAAAGAAATAATATAGGGCATCTAGGAAACTCAACCTAATCTAGAGAGCTTCCCCTAGAAAGTGACCTCTAAGCTGAGACCTCAAGGACGAACAATAGCAAGCTAGGTGAGTAGGAGTATCAAGAGTATTCTAAGAGGGGGAAGAGTTGGTAAGAATTCTTAGAGAAAGAGAAGGTTTATCAGGTAGCGAGGGCAGTGGGAGTTGACATGAGGATTGCATTAGGATGAATACGGATAAATGTGTAGGGGCTAAAACTTGGAAGGCATTTAGAGGGCATATTAAGGAATTTGTTTTAAAGGTTATTTTCTCCCAGGGAATAGAAAGATAAGAGTTGCATTACCAAAGGCTTCAAAATATTATTCTATATGTACCGGAAAGGATGAAGTGTGGAATTTGGGAGAGTAGCAAGGTAGATCTTCTCACTAAAGTCCAGGAAAGAAGTGTCATTGGTTTAAAACATTGTAGTAGGGCCAGGTGCGGTGGCTCACGCCTGTAATCCCAACCCTTTGGGAGGCCAACATGGGCGGATCACTTGAGGTCAGGAGTTCGAGACCAGCCTGGTCAAGAGGGTGAAACCCCATCTCTACTAAAAATACAAAAATTAGCCAGGTATGGTAGTGGGTGCCTATAATCCCAGCTACTCAGGAGACTGAGGCAGGAGAATCGCTTGAACCCAGGAGATGGAGGCTGCAGTGAGCCAAGATTGGGCCACTGCACTCTAGCCTGGGTGACAGAGCAAGACTGTGTCTCCAAAATTAATAGTAATCATATAAGTAATAAATAAATAAATAAAATGTAGAAGTAGAAGTAGAGAAGAGCGGATGCAATTGAGGAATTAATCCAATGACCGACTAAGGAGGCAGGAGGCAGTGCACTAGGCAAATAAAATGCTCGTGCCAGACGATATACAGTGCTAATAAATGTTGCTATGTATTTATTAAATTTTTGGGGAGAGGATTATTGATTTATAAAATTTTGGAATACTAGAGAAGAAGGAAAGGAAGGAAAGAAAAGAAGGAAAGGAAGGAAAGAAAAGAAGGGAAGGAAGAAAGGAAGAAAGATAAGAATGATGGAGGGAGGGAGGGAGAAAGAAAATTCAGAACCCCAAAATGTCTGTCAGTGAAAATAAAAAAAGAGAGAGAGAGAAAAGAAGAAGATGAGGAGGAAAGAAAACTCTAAAACTGAAAACCAAAAGAAAGTTTTATATAAATAGAGACTGAAACAGTAATAGAAGTTTATGTTGTAGGTCAAAATGCAGTCTCCCGCTGTCTAGGAAAGCCTGTAGGTCATTTTTGCACAATCCACATGGTAAATGGCTCTGGGAGCATCAGCCAACATAGTTAATGATATGTAATTAAGTCTTAATTCCAAGCATTAATAATTCAACAGATAATCAAGAAAATATATATAAACTTTTTAAATTAATTATGTAGCATTTTATCAGTACATTCAATTTCTAAATTATGTATTTCTTCCTTTGGCAACTGTTAAAATTATTTTGTGTTCGTGGGCACATGTTCTCCAGAACACACAAACTAGGTAGGATGGTAAGCAGGAAATTCTTGAGTTGAAATTGTACCACAGATAATACAAAGTAAATGCAATACATGTTTTAAAAATTTATATAATATAAAACAATGGCCAGGCGCAGTGGCTCAAGCCTGTAATCCCAGTACTTTGGGAGGCCGAGGCAGGCGGATCGCCTGAGGTCAGGAGTTGGAGACTAGCCTGGCCAACAAGATGAAACCCTGTTTCTACTAAAAATACGAAAAATTAGCCGGGCATGGTGGTGCAGCCTGTAGTCCCAGCTACTTGGGAGGCTGAGGCAGGAGAATCGCTTGAACCCGGGAGGCGGAGGTTGCAGTGGGCGGAGATCATGCCAGCTTAGGCGACAGAGTGAGACTGGACATAATAACAATAATAATAAAAATAAATAAATAAAACAATTATCTGAGAGGAAAAATTTGATTCATAATAAAGAGAATAAAGGTTTTTGGCGTGTTTGTTTTGTTTTCACCTAAGAACAGCTGTTCCCCTCATTGGGTTAGTTTTATTTGCAAGCAGAAATCATCTCCGCATGATTTCCAGGGTGATGGAAAACTGAATATGAATCCACCTTCTGCCATCTATTCACTTGTCACATTTAATAAGACACTCATGCCTATTTTAGCATGTTTTCTTCCCTACCAAATGAGTTAGTAACATCAAGAGATTAAAATAACACAAATAAGAACATTGAAGGTATTCAAATGTTACATACAAATATTAAACACAATATTATTATAATTATTCCTGGAAATGACATTGCCTCTACTCTCAAGGTAAAGGTCATTTTTCTTGATTTAAACTTTTTTCTCAAGTTTGAAATCTCTAAGTTTCAACCCGTAATCTATTTGCAAGTTTGTGCAAATTTTAGGGATTGAATCCATAGTAATTAGTGATTTATTGTGGTGTAGGGAGACAAGTCAAAAGAATCAGGACTGCTAGGTAGATGACTAAGGAAAGGATGGTTCACGAGGTGACATAAAGCACTCAGAAGAAAAAGGTCAGGAAACGGAGGACAGAAAAAAACCTAAGTTCTGCTGGGTGATGCTGAATTTGTCATCACAAAATCTGCATTGTGGAAGCTTTAGCTATTGAGGAGATTGCTCAAGTGTAGAACTGAGAACAATAGGCAGTGAACCCGAGAGAACATCAAGAGACTGAGAGAAAATGAACCAGACTTCCAGGTGCTCCATGTTCCAACCAACATTTTGTATTGTCAGAAGGAATTGAGAGGCAAAAGGAAACCCAATAAAAAATAAAACAGGAAAGGGCATACATGATTACCACCCCTTTTCTCACCAGCTGCTCATGGACCAGCTTTCTCCTAGTGCTATTTTCTTGGTCACTGCATCACTCTGCTAACATAGTTTCCCCACTAGCTCTGAGGCTGTCCCAGAGGGGAAGCCAGCTGTCATCTCCTTCTTCCACACTCTGTTGGAGGAACCTGTCATTAGCAGCTCCCTACTAAACGCATTTATGACAAACAGGCAGGAGATAATTAACTAGAAAGTGAACAAACTCAAACTTCAGAGCCTCTCATTTGTATGAATGCCCTTGTAAGGTCTTGGGCCTATTTTAATATTTATAAATGTGTTATTTTCTTCTAAAGAAAACCACCAAATTGTATAAGCTACAGAATCTGCAAAACTGAGGTCCATCCATGCACTCAGGATACATTCATAGCATCTCTGAGCTGGAAAATATCTTAAAGGTCATATATGTCCTCCAACACTGCAAGAATCTCTCTGGCAGCATTCTTTTAAAATCATCATCTAAAAGAGGGAAATCCCCAGCTGTGTTTGGATTTTGCTCTGTCACTTGTCCAGTTTCCCCATCCATAAAAGGGCAACAATATGAATTTCCTGATAAGGTAGTTGTTAATATAAATACAAAGTGCGTAGCCACTTCCCTAAGAAAAATATGGGGTTTCTGCTTCACAGTCTAGGGAGAGGAAAAAAAAGGGGGGTCAGAAGTGATTATTATTATCATTCTATATTGGAATGTTTTCAGACATAAAAAGCTCACCACGTCTTAGGCCAGACAGATGCATTATGAAAGTTAAGCTAAGTCTTCCTCATCATGAGCTGCACCTATATCCCCATTACTTCTTCTAGAACTGCATAATTTATTTATTCTTTCTTCAAAAGTTTGAGAGAGCCATTCTTGTCCTCTAAGATTTTTTTTTTTTTTTTTGGAGACAGAGTCTCCGTCTGTTGCCCAGGCTGGAGTGCAATGGCACTATCTCAGCTCACTGCAACCTCTGCCTCCCAGATTCAAGTGATTCTCCTGCCTCAGCCTCCCGAGTAGCTGGGATTACAAGCACGCACCACCACAACCAGCTAATTTTTCGTATTTTTTAGTAGAGACGAGGTTTTACCATGTTGGCCAGGCTGGTCTTGAACTCCTGACCTCGGGTGATCCACCCACCTCAGCCTCCCAAAATGTGGGGATTACAGGTGTGAGCCACTGCACCCGGCCATCTTCTAAGACTTCTATGGAGAGCTACATCCTTTAACTATTGATTGATGTCTTAGTATCCCTAGAGCACCACCTAGTATCTGGCATTTAGCAAAGTCCAAAGAGTGGTTTCAAGTAAGCAAGTAAAGAGATTCATGAAAGAATAAGTGTTTTTCAATCAATCACTTTATCCTTAAATCTGGTAGGTTAACTCAGAAGAATGAAAATAGAGTACTAAGGCATTATTACTTCCTGTAATCTGTTTACTGTTTAGTCCCTCAATGGGAAGAAAGTTTTCTAACAAATAACTCCAAGTTTTGGTTCAATAAACTTTGCAAAACCAGATATCCACATTCTTGAGAGCAGGAATTTGATGTTCCTTAAGTTTCAGTTCTCCATCATGTCTGGGCCCTAGTACTTTGTATCTAATACTCAATATACAATTTGGAAAATCTGAGGTATAATAAACACACAGTAATGCACACACATTTTAAGTGTGCAGTTTGATGGATTTTTACATATCAATTTATTTTAGTAACTACCACTTAGCTCAAGATAGAACATTACCATCACCCCATGTATTTTTATTTCCCCATTTTTGTAAATACTCTCTTCACTCTCTTCTAACCAAGTAACTCTCTAACACCATAAATTAGTTTCCTCTGTTATTGACTGATTTGATGGCTGCTAAGATTAAAATAAAAGTGTGGGTTTATATCTGGACTTTCTATTATTTTCCATTGGTCTATTTTACTTTCATTCTGACAATACCATAATATCTTGATTTCTGTAGCCTTATAATAAGTTTGGAAATCTGATAGTAAGTCTAAACATCCAATTTTATTCTTCAATAATGTTTTATCTTGGTTCCTCGTATATACATAAAAATTTCAGAATCAGCTTATTAATTTACACACACACACACAGCCATTTATATTTAATGTAATGAATAACACAGTTGAGTTTTAAATTTACTATCTTATTATCATTTTCTCTTTGCCCTATCTGTTCTTTGTTCATTAATTCCTCTTTTCCTGCATTCTTTTACCTCAGTCAGGTATGGTTTATAATTCAATTTTATTTTCTGTATTACCTTTTTTGTTGTGCGTTTTGATGTCATTCTTTCATTGGTTACACTTAAAACATCATCCTTAACACTGTTACCTTAAATTATCAAACGCAAGGATCTTATATTTATCCTTTTAAGGCTGTTATTCTATATTTGACTTTAATAAACAGTATAAGCCCCACAAGATACTCTTATTCTTTATGTGTCAAACAGTTAGTCTTTTATAAATTCTCAATCATTTACCCTTTCTGGGGCTGTTTATTCTTGCTTACATTTCTGTGATTCAATGTGAGACTATGTCCCTTCAGCTTGAAGAATAACCCTGAGTAAATTCTGTAGTTTATAGTCAGCTAACAATGAAGTCTCTCAGTTTTTGTCAGTCTAAATCTTTTTCATTTTTCGATTCTTTTCAATGGACACAGAATTCTGGTTTGATAGTTTTTATTTGTTTCTTTCTGTACCTGAAATATATTTATTATCTTCTACCTTCCATGATATTTCTGCTGAAATCAATGTTCATTTATATTGTTCCCCCAAAGGTGATTTTTTTAAACCTCTGGTTGTTTTTAAATTTTCTTTTTCGTCTTTCAGCAATTTGACTCTCATAGGCCTAGATGGGGTTTTCTTTGCCTGGGGTTCATTGAGCTTCTTGAATTTCTTGGTTGATATCTGTATTAGTTCATTTTCATGCTGCTGATAAAAACATGCCCGAGACTGGGCAATTTGCAAAAGAAAGAGGTTTATTGGACTTACTTCCACGTAGCTGGGGAGGCCTCACAATCATGGTGGAAAGTAAAGGGCACATCTCACATGGCAACAGACAAGAGAAGAGAGCTTGTGCAGGGAAATTCCCATTATTAAAACCATCAGATCTCATGAGACTTATTCACTGTCATGAGAACAGTACGGGAAAGACCTACATGATTCAATTATCTCCCTCCCACAACATGTGGGAATTATGGGAGCTACAAGATGAGATTTCGATGTGGACAAAGCCAAACCATATCAATACCTTTCGAGTTCTTCACCATGATTTTTTCAAATGTTGTTTCTGCTAGTCTCTCTCTCTCTCTCTCTCTCTCTCTCTCTCTCTCTTCTTTCTGCTCTCTCTGGATATTTTCTATTGATTTCTATATGAGACCATCAGTTTATTTGTGTAGTATCCAGGTGGTTTTTAAACCTATGTAATTACTTCTTGATTTAGCAATTCAACAAAGTTCATTTTATTATTTTTATGAAACCTAATATCCTGCTGAAATGCTCTGTTTTTTAATCCATTTTGCCCATCTCCACGGTAGTTCATGGTTATTTAAAAGCCCTTGCCTATTAGTTCCAAAATCTGTGTCATTTCTTGAGCTCTATTGACTGTATTTTCTTTCTTTCTTTCTTTCTTTCTTTCTTTCTTTCTTTCTTTCTTTCTTTCTCTCTTTCTTTCTTTCTTTTTTTGCCATCAGGTACTCTTTTCTGCTTCTTTGCATGTCTGGTAAGTTTTGATTGCATGCAGCATTTGTAGAAATTTTAGCTTATGTTTTCTTCCTCTCATAAACTTTGAGTTGTGTTCTAGCAGGTGGTTAAATCATTGGTAGATCACCCTAACCCTACAGAAGCCTAGTTTTTGCTTCGTTCAGTCAAATCTATTTCAGTTTATTCTTTCTCTTAGGACATCATCCTTCTATCTAAGGAGTATCCTTCAAGGGTTTCATCCTAATGCCTGAGGTGTTCACCAAAGTCTTTCCATTCTGACTGGAACCGAACTCCAACATCTCCTCAGAATTGTGTGATCTCTAAAATGTCCACTCAAATTTCAGCCTCTCTGCCACTGCACTGTATCTGTCAGGTCTCTAGAATAATGCCTCTGGACACATGCAGCCTAGCAATTCAGCTAACGAACTGAGAGGAATTGCCACACAGACTTCCGGTGCTGCCTCTTGGTACTCACCTCTCTGTCACCTTGCTTACCTCCAGAAACCTTAGTTACTTTATATAGCTCCAAGCTCTTGAGCTATATGCCCTCTGCTCAGTGAAACTGCAGCTCTCTGCTTATTCTCAACCTCCCAAAACTTCTGCTGAAAAAAATATCCCCTGAGGAAAAATAATCCATGGGAATGGGCTCATTCCATGTGCCTCCAGTTACCCCAAATTGCAGCACTATGTTGGTTATGGTTCAGAAGTAAAAAATGTTTGATATAGTTTTTCCAGGTTTTATAGCTATTTTATGGTAGAAAGGCAAGTGAGTGCTATTAGCTAATTGTCCAGAACCAGAGTCTCATTTCATAACTGCATAAATCCTTTGCTTATCTTGTGTATTTTTTTAAACAAACCTAAAATGCAGGATTTCTAAGTATTTTCCAGTTCTAGCTGATTTCCTTCATTTTAGATGAAAATCCAAAGGTAAATACTCTTTGGTTTCTGATTTTTGGCATCTTGTAAATAAGCATTGCCTCCAGTTTGGTTCATTCTCAGATCTATTAAGTATCCCATTTATATTTTCCTCTGAAATATAATTTGATAAATCTGCTGAATGATCGGGCACCAAGGTCAGGACCAATACCTTATTCAAGCCCAGCATGAATCCACTTACCAAGAAACTGGAGGCAACTCTGTCTAAACTGTAATTTGTTTGATACAAACATGCCATCTACATTTACCTTGTCCATAATGATAATGGGAAGGTTAGCTGAAATCAGGAAATACTGTATTATGAGTTTAGTGACTATTTACAAGTGGAAATGAATTTAATCTGGTATGATTTATTTTACTAAATTGTAGTTGCTTCCTTTTCTTTTCTCACTAGTCACAAATGATTTATTTCAGTATCTTCTCCAGAACATTGCCAGAGGCCAGTCTCAAACTTAACCATTGTATACATACCAGAATATTTTCATTAAAAATTAATAACTTTTGTCTTTCTCTGAAAACTACATAATCACTACTTGTCCATTCTTTTGGTCCTTGCCTGTTCTTTATGGATCAATATTATCAAAGCTACTCCTGTTTCCACAGGCAAATAACAATTCTATGTAATGGGAAAGATATTAAATCCGAATTCATGTTCCTCTTACTAGCTATATAATGGACAATTAAATTATTCCTTTAAATTCCTTTCTCCTTTAGTACACAAGGATAAAATACTCATTTGATTGTTTTAAAGATTAAAGAAGTATCTGAAAGTAACTGTTATATTTTCTTCTGAGAGGTATCCCAATAAAAAGGCTACAATATTGTTATTATTATTACTATTCTAGTATCCTGGATGCAATTTACCTAAGCCTAGATATTTTAATTAATTTAAGTAGCCACATGCTTTCTCACTAGCTATTTTCCCAGCATGATCTCAATCTTTTCTACGCAAAGTTTAGTCTCTTCTCTCCTAAAGATTGTTCTACCTAGAGAAGAATATAGGTTCAGAAAGGAATTCATATACTGGTGTTTCTCTAATCTCTTAGAATTACTTAATTTTTCAAAGAGCTCTATCTTTTCCTATTTATCTTCTTGTTCCAAATAGAATTAAAATCATTTGCTGCCTTTAATATTGTTAAATATTTCATTTCATACTATGCTTCAATTTCTTGCTTTTTTCTTCTTTTTATCTTCCTCCTTCCTTCCTTTTTCTTTCTTTTCTTCTTTTTCAGTTATCATTGTTATGCTTGTCCTTTCTTGTGAGATTCCTCTGTTATCTTTCCTTATGTGCTTTTTAAACAAAACCTCGAGAGTGCCGTGGGACAGCCTCATTGGTATCTTTTCAAATTTGGTATCTCTCCACTTTTTCCTTACATAGTTAGCTGGCAGTAGTACATAATAACCTTTTCTGTCTCTCTCTCTTTCTTTCTTTCTTTCTTTCTTTCTTTCTTTCTTTCTTTCTTAGATTTTCATTCCTCTTGAGCTTTAAAAGACTGGCTAGCAATGTTATATCTTTCATTTTATTTTCTGATTTAAAAAAGTGTGTGTGTGTGTGTGTGTGTGTGTGTGTGTGTGTGTGTGTGTACGCGCGCGCGCGCGCGCGTGCACGTCAGTGTCTTCTTCATGGATGCTTGTCTTATTTTCTCCCAAGGTGTAACTGTCCAGGGAGGGAAAAGTCAAGTCGTCCTCTATTACACTGCTCTGCAGAAACAGACTCACTAAATGTCAAAAAGTAGATGCATCAGACTGTTCCTTAGAGAAAGGTTTGCCATGGAGTCGTATATTGTAACTGAGCTGAAGTTCACTCATCGATAAGTTGTGCCCAAGGAATCGAATTCCTTCCAGTCCTTCTAAGCAGTCCAGGGAAACCAATTTAAAAGCGAACACAACAAAACTAACAGACCGGCAAAATCTATCTTTGAAGCGCCGCGGGAGGCACAATTTGGGAACAGGTGAGGCCATGCTGGGTGGGTGAGGCCCCCCTCTCTCCTGCTTGGTGTTCCGCTTTCAGCCAACCCACCCCAGGAGTACCCTGGGATCTCCTCGCCCCCTGCCAGGCGGAGAACGCGGAGCCCAGCGGGCACGCGGGAATGGAGCTAGGCGCCGG
This sequence comes from Homo sapiens, assembly GCF_000001405.40. Classification (NCBI taxonomy): domain Eukaryota; kingdom Metazoa; phylum Chordata; class Mammalia; order Primates; family Hominidae; genus Homo; species Homo sapiens. Next base: position 239,386,504 of record NC_000001.11, read on the forward strand.
CAGGGCAACTGGGCATGCTCAGAAGCCGGGCAGGTTTTGGTCTCAAGCACGCAGCCTGTGCATTACACCAGCTCTCTCAGTCCGGGGAGGAGGAGGAGCAGGAGGAACGCGAGGAGGAAGGAGAGGAGGAGCGGCCAGCAGTAGCCACGACCGCCACCACCAGGCAGAGGAAGAGTTCGTGGGGAGGAAAAGACCTCTCCTCCCCCTTGGAGCGCCTTCTCTCTGCTTTTGGAGAAAGGGAATACACGATAAAGAAGGAGACGGAAAGAAGAGAAAAAGTGAGGCGGGAGACAGAGGGAAAAGGGCGTGAACAGAAAGGGCCGGAGCGTGCAGGGGAGCACAGGGCGCGGGGGCGGCACTGCCGAGCCGGGAGCGCTGCCGCTTGGGCAGGTGCCGCGGCCGCTGCCCGGAGGCGGCATGTGACGCGCGGCCGCAGCTGCCCGCGGGCGGAGCGCTCTCAGACCCCGGAGCGCACACCGCGGGGCCATCGGTGCCATCGCGGATCTCCAGGCTCCTCATCAGTCCGCCGGGGCCGCAGCAGCGCTTCTGGGAAGACGGGCGATGAACTGAAGGGCGGCTCCGGGCAGGGGGGCACGATCTTAAGGACAGTCGCTCCCTGAACGCGGAGCCGGAGGAGACGAAGGGAAGGTGGAGCGGACGCCACCCGCGCACCGGGCAGGCGCGGAGACCGGCGTGGGACAGCCACCTGGAGCGCAGCTGCCAGGTAGGGACGGCGCCCGCCACCCAGGCGCTGGGCAGAGCGGGTGGCGGTAGCGGCTGACCTGGTTTCTTGCCTTATCTCGTTGCGAAAGGAGGAAAAAGTTTTCGGCGCGGGTAGGAGAGGTCTTGTGTTTGGAGTCCAAAGAAGGGGCTGGGTAGGGACGAGAGAGGCTGTTGATTTGGGGAAGATGGGGGCACTTGAATTCCGACAGCGCGATCTGGTGCGGAGTTGGAGTTCTGGGACTGAGGGTGGGGAACGCCCGCTGGCACTCAAGTGCCCCGAAAGGGACGGGAATCATGCGAGCGGTGGCCGGGAGAGAGTCGGGGACGTCCCACCCCGCTCTCCCTCGCTTCGATTCTCTCTTCGCCACTGCCGGATCTGAGGCTCCAAAGTGCCCGAGCATGAGGAGCTACTGGGCTCCGGGTGTGTTTGTGAGCGCACTCGTGTGTTGAGCGTTTGTCTCCCATCTCCCCATTTGGTTTCCTGTCATTTCTAAGAAGGCTAAAGCTGGCACCCGCCAACCTCGCAGTGGGGCCGCAAGTTCGGATTGCATTTCAGGGGGCGAGAAGGCAAATTTGGCACTTCGAGTAACACTTGGGCGAAGGTACCTAGCCTAGTGCGCATCTTTACTGACCCGGGGAGAGTCTGCACTCGCGAGGCAGCGGCCGCTGGACTGCACCGGTTCTCCTCTTTGGAACACTTCCTCAGCATAGCCTCCTAATAGCGAGGTTAATTTTTGCGTGTTTTTAAACGGCGGGGGCGGGCGGACAGTTGACTCCAGCAGCAGAATTCACTTGTCTACTTCGCGGTGTGCGTGCTGGAATTGAGATCCTGTTCTGCATGCTTGTGCGTGTGTCCGACTCTCCTTGCACGCATTTGGAAGTGGTAGAGGCAGCAGGGATTTGGGAACTGCATCCATATGGATAGGTTTCAAGAATGCAAACCTTCATTTGTCTGCAAGTGTTACTGGAACCTGTCCAAAGGCTGCAAGGATATGTCCCCTCGATCCCCGCCAGTGTCCGTGTTTGCAATGTGAAAGGGCGGCCCTCTTTAGGACAAAAATGTATTTATCAAAGCGATGTGTGGTTAAGAACACTGGTTATTTCACCATATGCTTTGCACAGACTTTTCCTTTCTCTCTTGCCCTCTGAGTTCCAAGACAGATAACCTGTCCCCTCCCCCCATTTTGACCTTTGTAGGTTACTATTTGAAAAATAATTTTTAACTGGGTGCAGTGATTATATAGTCCAGATAATTTCATATTGTGAGATCGTTATATCGCATGAACCATTCATCATTATTTCCTGTGTTTAAAACAATGCCCATGTATTTACTTAAGAGAGACTATGAACATATAGTTCAGAAAGGGGAAAACTAAACCTAGAGCAGATACCTGCATATAAGCGTATTGTAGTGGTAGCACGTTAATAAAAAACTAAGGTATTTCTGTTCCAAATATTGTGGGATAGACGAGGTGTTGAGTGCACCCTCTTGTTATAAGAGCTGATATCCCGAAGTATACATGTGCAAGGAACATGCCTGCTTCTTCAGTGTGCATTCCAACATGCCACAGAAATGTGGTTTACATCATAGCTTCTACCGCCGAATAGTCTATCTTTAGATTTTGTTTACATGGTTTGTCTCAATTAGCTTAATACATAATTAGCTATTGTTGGGCTAGAAAGCACGTTATTTTTGTAGTGGTTTCCATATGGAAATATAACGTTCGCTTAATTACTAATTTAAAAATAATGACATTGCCGGTCGGATTTAGAATGTTTCTCTAGGTTGGGGGGTATTATGAGATCGAATGTAGCACGAAAATAGCAATGTCGAAATATTGTTTTTTAAATAACGTTGCGTCATTAATCGAATGAACATGACAGTTGAAAAAGAAAATGAGATAAAAAGTAGACTTTGAAAAATCTTTATAAATTTTCTGTGTGGAAAATTATTGTAAGGGAAAAATGTAATTTGGGAAAAGGAGCAAATGTGGAATTGGTCAAGTTTTAAAGAAAGAACAAGTGTTATAATGAGTAGTTCTGTATTAAACCTACATTTAAGCTTATTTAGGAAAGTTTGCTTTAAAATTTAGAGAAATCTATGATGAATATTCAGTACCCTACTTTTATTCTGGGGTAGGGGGAAGTAAAATGTCACTTCAAAAGTATTATTTACTTCTGAAGATTATTTAGGCATGTGTAAAAGTTCTTTAGAGTGTACCTTCTCATTTTTTCCTTATAAAGACAAATGATTTAATTTCTTAACAAAGAAAATTTGTTATAAATTAGAGTATGTAAAAATGTGAAGTTCTTTTAATGATATTTTAGCCTTTAATTGCAGGCAACCTGTTGAAAGAGGGCATGGAAAAAATGTGAAATTGGCAGACATAGAATTTCTTAGATTCACACTTGTAAATTGAATAGACAGAAAGTTAAACGATATGGTTAAAAGCAAAGTTGCCTTATGTATTTGTAAATTATAAAGTAATACATATTTTCAGATTTTTAGTTAAAATCTCTGTCATTTTCCCAGCCAACATATTGTTCTTGCCTAATAACTTTGTTAACATTGGCAAGCTCAGTTGCTTACTGCTAAATGGCCTGGACGATTCCAGTGTGACTATTAAGAAATTGGGTCTTGTTTGCAGTGCCGGGAAGTTTATACTGGGAACAGCTGTGGTGTAGTGGCACTTTAGATAGGAGATGAATGAACCGTGAATCATATGAAGATGGAGACTGATCAGTATGCAGAGAAGTGTATCTGTCCTTCACTTATGGAACCTGATTTTATATCATATGATGACTAATAGCATTATTCTCACAGTGTGATTTTGGAGGATCAGTGAGTAACTAGAGATGTTGTCTTTTATGTTTGTGAATTTAAAATGTATTCTCCTTACATAAGACTATTGTAAAAGGTATCTATGAGCTTAATAAAATTGTAATCAAATCCCTCTACCACGTTTACTTTTAAAAGTTAATCAGCATAATAAAATGTGCCTTTATGCTTAATTGTTTAATATAGTGTTTTCCTAGATGCAATATATTTTTCATCTATAAAGTTCAGCAAGTCCAGCAGAAGCCCTGTTCTGAAAAATTACTAGCCTTTCAGAACTTTGGAATAAAATTTCAACATCAATGGAAAGTTTTAATTTTATGAAGAGATAATCTAATGTATATGACAGGAGGCAAAATCAGTTAAATTAGAAGTTAGTTTCTGGTGTCTGAAAGGCCCTATCTTCTCCATTAGGGAATATATCTTTGTTCAGATCAAATGCTAAGCAGAGTATTTCTTCAAATCACTCATCACTGCATTGCTCCCTCTGCCCACCCTCCACGGAGAGGGTGTGCAGGTATGAAAGGCTTCCCTCACTTTTTTTTTTTTTTTTTGAGATGGAGTCTCACTCTGTCGCCCAGGTTAGAGTGCAGTGGCATGATCTTGACTCACTGCAACCTCCGCCTCCCAGGTTCAAGCAATTCTCTGCCTCATGAAAGGCTTCCCTTTTCATCAGTGAACTAGCACCTGGAGAGCTCTGTTAGCCTGCTACCTTCCCTAGCAGTTGCATGCCCCAGACAGTATAGATCTCCATTAGTGTTGTCTTCAATGCAAGAAATAAAAATAATTTTGGTCTGGGCACAGTGGCTCATGCCAGTAATGGCAGCAGTTTGGGAGGCCAAGGCAGGAGGATTACATGAGGCAAGGAAATCAAGATCAGCCTAGGCAACATAGCCAGACCCCATCTCTACAAAAAGTGTAAAAACTTAGCCAGGCATGGTGGCGTGCACCTGTATTCCTAGCTACTAAGGAAGATGCAGTGGGAAGATAGCTTGAATGCAGAAGTTCGAGACTGCAGTGAGTCAGGATCATGCCACTGCTCTCCAGCCTGTACGAGAGTCTGAGACTCTGTCTCTACATAATCATCATCATAATAGTAATTTTGGTTTGGTGAAGCAATTGAAAATATTAAACCATAATGTGGCTTATGTGATAACTGTGTGACCTCAAACATTTCATTCCCCACTGTACACTTGAAGACCATAGTAGTTGCCCTGTCCATACCATGGATTGGTTTTGAGAATCCAGTGCATGTGGATGTGCTTTTTGAACAAACTCTGAAATGCAGTGCTTGATTGGAACCCAGAGCCCCCTCAGTACACCATGATGGACAGCACTGAGCGCCAGTATGTAGTGGCCCTCTGGCTCAGTTTTTGGCCTCTGTGTGTTGTTTTCTATCCAGAAGTTTTGGCAGCTTGCAGATTCCCCAGCCTCTGGCAGGCTCTCTCTTTTAGGCTGGCGATCTGCATTCTCCCACCTGTTGGAACTTCCCGCTCATCCCCTCCTGAAGGCCAAGGACTCTGGCTGACGTGCACCTTCTTAGCTTCCTCTGCTGAGGCTGCAGCTGCAGCTTGCCACATTGACACAGACCTAGGGTCCAGTAGTGATGACAGGAAGTCAACAGAAGGAATATTCTGAGCCCCTGCCAGCTTCTCACCAATTGTGCCAGTTCATCCTGAAGCCATCCGGAATATGAACACTTTGAGAAAAACAATGGTGGCCAAAAATTAAAAACAAAAAACAAAAACCAATTTGATAAACAGTAGCTGGCAGATGCCTTGTGGGCTTTGAGACCTTGCCTTTCCAAGCCTGCTCTGCATGGGACTCAGGAGCCTGGCCCTTCTGATTCCACAACCAGTGCAGAGTCTGTCCTAACCCTAGTGAGCTCTAGCAATTCTCATGCCCCCCTCACCTCAGTTTCTCTAACTCCTGTCATATTTACCATTTCGTAGGACTAGGATTTTATTGAGTTTTCAATTTGCACTTTCAGTACTGGATTTAATGTCTGGCCTGGGAAAATTTTAGCTATGACCTTGGCAGTCAGCCTCGCCCTTGCCAAGAACTTCTCTCCAGGAGCAAGACCCCTTTCTTTCTATTCTGTCTCTGATTCAATCTCAGTGTGACAAACCCTTGGACCTAAGGCACAGCTCCTCTCCTGACAGTGCATCATTTCCGCCTGAGACTTGTAGTGCCCGGTTCCACTTGACAAATAAATTCTCCTTGTCTGTCATTGTTGGCAGGATCAAATCTCAGTTCTCCACACCTCTCCCAAGCAATGTAATTTGAGTGGCTGACTATCCACTACAGAATTAATCCTTCATTAGGTCATTTGTTCTAGCCCAGTCCTAGCCTGCTTCCTGTCCCCACTGTTCCCTTGAAATTTGGCATGCCAGCTGAGCCATGACATCGTCTACCTTCTGTCACCTCTAGCACAGGAAGTGGTGCTAATGTAGACATCCTGGTTCAGGCAGGATATCCGCCGACTACTGCTGTTCAGATAAAATTCAGGTGAGTTTAAACCAAGGTGAAATACTTTCAGCCTGTTTTGGAGAGAGTTCCCAGAGAGAGGGGCTACCAAGTGTGTACTTCCCTGCATTTATGGCTGTGAAGTGTTTTGGTGCTCTTCTACTGAAGCCTTCTAATTTACCATAGGTAGCTATGGCTATAGACATAGATACATATAAAAATATTCTGTCACTAAACTGTAGGAAAAAGGAGCTGCTAACAGCCTTTGTCTACATTTTTTAAGACTTGTCACTTTGGAGTACATTTTCTCCCACTAGAATTGCCCATGGGATCCAGACTGGAGGGAAACCTGGTTACTGCTAACTATTAATACATACAGGCCAATTCTTGCCCACAGCCATTTGACATTCCATCGAGCTAGCTCTCACTTCCATTGAAACCTAATCCAGTGGTATTTTGTAGACTCACAATCCATATAAATTTTGGCTGAGCATAGTGGCATACACCTGTAGTCCCAGGTACTCGGGAGGCTAAGGCAGGAAGATCACTTGAGGCCAGGAGTTCAAGGTTATAATGTACTATGATTGCACCTGTGAATAGCCACTGTACTCCAGCCTAGACAACATAGCAAGACCCCCATCTCTTCAATAAAGAAAGAAAGAAAGAAGATCCCATATAAATATTAAATATTGTTGGGTTTTTGGCTTCAAATTGACAATATGTTGATGACTATATTTAAATGTATATCCATAGTCATTTAAAAATGTTATTGAACACAGTCTTTTTTGTGATTTTTCAATTTTCTTAGTGCAAAATAGTCTAAAAGCACAACTTCTGTTGTGGGAGGTCTCTCAAACGATTTACATTGAAAAGAAGTTCTCATACTTGAAATAGACGTGATGATCCTCCTGCCGTGTTTCCTGTGCTTTCTCACATGCCCGATAACACATGCCACATGCAGTAGCTTGTGTGAAGGGAGAGGTGATGGGAATCTGGAATGGCCATGATGTTTCTTTATATGGAGTCCTCCTTTCTTCTCTCCTCACCCCAGATCCTTTCCATCATGCAAGGACCAGCCAAACTCTTCCAGCTTTCCTTGAGCGCAGCTATCATTCTGTTTTTCCCTGTGACTAATTATTTTAAATCCCTTGATTCATTTGAATGTTAGAAACTGAAAATCGGTCTGACTAAACAACTACAAATCACTTCCCTCTACTCTGAATACTAGTGGCACTCACCATTTTTAATATAAAATTTGATGCTCAAGGATAACCCAGGTAGTATTTATTTTGATTCTCTCCAAAGAAGTTACCTTCATGAGAGTATATAAGTAAATATATAATAAATACATGTTTGAGTAGAATGAGTAAATGACTCAATCATTCCATCTATCTACCTATCAATTATCTATCTCTTTATATCTAATCCACCTATGTTCATTTACATAGGTGTTGTATATACATCCATTATCACATCTTTCATATCAGTATCATCTAATGTGCAAAGTACCATGGACATTCTGTTTTGGATACACAGTAAGTCAAGGGCTCTGCTTTTCAGAGCATATGATCAATGTGAGTGTAACTAAACAAATCTGGGTTGGAAGGGGATGTTAGATGTTGCGTGAATTTCTTAGGTTTTAAAACAGAAGTTTATTCTTTCACAATTCTGGAAGCCAGAAGTCTGAAATCAAGGTGTTGGCAAGACTGCACTTCCTCTAAAGACCCTAGGGGAGAATCCTTCCTTTCTTCCTTCAGCTCCTGGTAGCTATCTGCATTCCTTGACTTGTGAGCATATCATTCCAATCTCTGCTTCTGTGGTCACGTTGCCTCCTCCACCTCTTTCACTGTCTCCTCCTGTATATGCCTGTCTTATAAGGATATGTGTGATTGCAGTGAAGTCCCAGCCAGAAAATCTAGGATAAGCTCCTCCTTTCAAGAGCTTTAACTTCATCACATCACATCTTTTGTCATATAAGGTAATCACAGAACCTGGGGATTAGGAGGTGGGCACATCTTTTGGAGGGACCGCCATTCAGACCACTGCAGATGTCATTAATGAACAACTTTTGGCTTTGGACCTCTCTCTTGTGTTAAACTGTGCAGTCTGTATGTTTGAGAAATTAACACTCACCAGGGGGGTCATTCCATTTTCACAGAGCAGTGAGATGCAGATCCCCTTTATATTGAGCCAAAAATCTAATTCTCATTGTACTTATTTGCCTTCTTAATAATTCTGAGAATTATGATGAGAACACTTCTGATCTTTCTTCCACAAGAAAATCTTTAAAGTTGAGAAGTTTAAAGTTATTTCAACCTGGTCCTATGTGCCACTTCTAAATTTTCATGATTTTTCTTAACCTTTTCAATTACACTCACCGAACAGCAATCACACTCCCCTAATCTCATTACCCTCTGACTTTAAATCTTTTGACTCCTCTCATCCACCTTCATGAGGTTTATAGCAATGACTTCTCCAAAAGTCACCTGTAACCTCTTAGTCATAAAACGGGTAGCCCTTCCTTGTCTGTCCTGGTTAATCTCTTAGCAATCCCTTTAAACTCCCTTAATTTTCAGAGAATTATACCTACCTAGCTCTCTTCTCTCCTCTGGTTCTTTTCTCTTCTTCCTGTTCCCCACCCCTATTTTCTGCAGAGTGTAGGGCTTTCCAGCAATTTCTCCCTGGTTGACTCCCATACTCTTCCGTTGCCTCTCCTTTTGTACCTGCCTCTGTCTTCACGATTTCAAATACCCTTTCCATGTGGGTCACTTGGCTTCAGTAAGGAGCATTTCCATGTGCTTGCTGGATAGCACAGCCTTCCCCTCCTTCTTCCTCATCCTGTTCCCCTCCTGGGGTTCCTATTTCTATGAATAGCATGACCATCCTACAGCTCAAATGTTATGAATAAATCAAGTGATCTTGATTTATTCTCTTCCCTCACCTCCTACATTTAGCCAGGTACCGAATTCTAATGATTCAACCAAGTAAGATCTCAACCTTCTTGGCTACTTTCCCCTCCTGCTACCAATATCTTAATTCATCATTTCTGCAACTTAAATGTGCATTCAGATCACATAGGGATCTTGATAAAATGCAGACTCTGATCCATGAGGGCTGGGTTGGGGCCTGAGAATCTGCATTTCTAACCAGCCTTCAGGTGATGCAGATACTGCTCCTCTGTGCTCAGACCACACTGAGAAGAAAGGCTTTATGTTTTAGCTTTGTATCTTTTCTTAGTCTCTGAGCTTCCCAGATGATCTCATTGATCATATTATTGCCTTTGATCCATTTTACACAGATTACTGTTATTGAGGACCAAATGTGATCATCTTTCTCCTACCCTTGAACACCTTCTTTGACATCACCTTCCATTGCCTGTTGAATAAAGACTAAATGTCTCGCATCAGCTTCACCCTATTTCATGGCTTGGGTTTGCATGTTGAGTTCAGTCTCAAGTCTCAAGGTCACCCTTCACTTTACCCTGGTACTTGCTGTTGCAGGTATCCTCATCCTCTGCCACGTTCTCTTGCTGCATAGGATGCCCTTTGTGCCACATCATCAGGGATCCAAATTTTAGCAATTTGTCAAGGACCACTTGAAACGAATTCATCTTCTGTTACTCTATCAGAATCTCACTTTTATCCCTGATTACATTCACTCTTGGTTTTAGTGTGTGTGTGCCACAAATTGTTTGAAATATCAGACTGTGAACTCCTTGAAAGATGCTGTGTTTTGTTGGTCTTTGACTGCTTTCAAGTATCTAGTGCAGAGTCTTCTTCATAAATGCTCAGTGTGCACATTCGCATATAAAATATGTAAACAGGCACAGTGGCTCACTTTGGAAGGCTGAGGTGGGAGGATGGTTTGAGGCCAGAAGTTGAAGACCAACCTGGGCAACTTAGCAAAAAAAATCTCTACAAAAATTATTAAAAATCAGCTGGATTTGATTGTGCACCTGCCTGTAGTCTCAGCTATATGGGAGGCTGAGGCAAGGAGGATCCCTTGAGCCCATTAGTTCAAAGCTGCAGTGAGCTGTGATGGTGCCACTGCACTCCAGCCTGGGCAACAGAACAAGATCCAGTCTCGAAAAGAGTAAATATAGTGTTTTTGTTGTTTGTCTCCTTATAAAAGTAATATATGTCATACAAAAATTCAAACATTATGGAAATATATATCAAAAGTAAAAGTCCACCATAACCCAATGCCCCCAAAGACAACTATGGTTAACAGTTTGATGTCACGACAGGATTGCCTCTGATATTTTTCTATACATATTCTAACATTTACTCTATACAAAACTGGGATAATAATAGACTCTTGCAACTTGACTTTAAATGTAAATCTATCTCCTCTTCTTAAAATCTGCAACTTATTCCAAAAGATTGACTGATTTAACTGCATAAAAACCAATCTGCTTAAAATGGCCTAGCAATGTAGAAATATGTTTGCTTTGAATTTCTGATCACTTAAATATGCCTTTATTCAGCAATTTCTCTCTCTGCTCCTCAGATTGTGCTAGACTTCGGATCTGTAACAGTAAGACACAAATACTACCCCGGAAGTTCCAAGCTATACTTATGTCTTTAGGCTAATGTTGAGTGATGAACTGCGGGTGAAGTAGTAATCATTTATCTTTGATGACAAGTTAAAATTATCATATTTGATGACGTGAACTCTCAGATTGCAATTTTATACTGAAATGTAAGTTTTCAAATTATTTTGCTCCATAAAGAATAGGTGACTCATTTTGAATTCTGAATGTGTACATATTTATCTATCATCTAACACACATATGTATAGGTATATTACTTTTTGTTCCATTAATGAATATAAATTTGAAATAAAAATATAGAAAATGTTGTGGCCGGGTGTGGTGGCTCACGCCTGTAATCCCAGCACTTTGGGAGGTCGAGATGGGTGGATCAGGAGGTCAGGAGATTGAGACCATCCTGGCTAACACAGTGAAACCCCTTCTCTCCTAAAAATACAAAAAATTAGCCGGGCGTGCTGGCACATGCATGTAGTCCCAGCTACTTGGGAGGCTGAGGCAGGAGAATCTCTTGAACCCGGGAGGCAGAGGTTGCAGTGAGCGGAGATCGTGCCACTGCACTCCAGCCCGGGCAACAGAGCGAGACTCTGTCTCAAAAAATACATGTATTTATATATATATATATATATTTCTATAAAATATATAAATATATATTCTATAAAAATATATCTATATATATTTCTATATATATATAGAAAATGTTGTAAAAGATATACCAAAAATTTTAGTGTATTTAATAAAACTACAATTTAGGAAGAAGCAGTGTGAAAAACAAAAGGAAAATGTTATGTGAGCCGTGTCTTAGAATGCCAGTAACTGGGGGCACACAATAAAGCATTTGTTGAAAAGAAAATTCTTTTAGAAGTAAACATCAATATTCCCTTTGAAATTTTGGAGAGATAAGTCTTCATAATGATGAATGTTTGTTACTGATACCATATTTGTCATTTAAGAAATAGTTCTGTTGTGGAACTCGGGAAGGTCATTTTCCTGGGTAGAGGGAGGACAGGAGTATGTTTGAGGAACCTAGAGATAGCAGCAAAGGAGACTGTATCTTATGAAGAAGAAACTTAAAAGTAGAATGTAAGACAATAAAAGATTACAACTTTGAATCAATAGGAGACTTTTGCAGTCTGGGTTAGTGAAATTATATAAATAATGTATTTTTTTCTTTTTGAGATGGAGTTTCGTTCTTTCACCCAGGCTGGAGTACAATGGCATGATCTTGGCCCACTGCAACGTCTGCCTCCTGGGTTCAAGCGATTCTCCTGCCTCAGCCTCCCAAGTAGCTGGGATTACAGGCGTGTGCCACCACGCCTGGCTAATTTTTGTATTTTTGGTAGAAACGGGGTTTCACCATGTTGGTCAGGCTGGTCTCGAACTCCTGACCTCAAGTGATCTGCCCGCCTCGGCCTCCCAAAAAGTGCTGGGATTACAGGCATGAGCCACCACGCCTGGCCAATATAAAGAATATTTCTACATCTTCTATCAAACCCCTGAAGATTTTGTCCATTGGTATAGTTAATATGTCTCCTCCCATATGGATTGTGTGTTTCCTGTAGAATTTAATACAAGTGAAAATTGAACCTCCTTTGGAATAATAAGAGCAATTATCTGATAATAAAATTAAGGCATATTTATTTCATTTTTGCATTGGCTGCTAGGAAACTTAGACCTAAAAATAACATTCAATCACAGTGGACAGTTTTGCTTGGTTTTTCTGTATATTACTTCCCTTTTGTTTTAGGATTTTTCTTAACCTTTCAGTTTTAATATAAGCATTCTCAGATTCTCTTTGGAAGGCAAGCAGGATATAACTTGGAAATGTATAGTCTAAAATTATACCCACAAAAAAATGCCCATATATTAAGGTAAGAAAAAAGAAAAAGAAAGGAAGTGAATACTTTGAAAGCAGATTAAAAAAGAAAAAGTAATATGTTGGAACCAAGGTCTCTTTGAAGGCCTGAAGACCCCAGGAACCACCATGGGCAAAGAAAGTAACTTTTAGCCAATGCAAGATATCCTGAAGAAAGAACAGGTAACGATGGTGATGATGATGATGACTGCTGATAATTATAATGAATTATAAGGCTTCAGATTTTCAGACAATATCTCATTGAATCAACAGCCCTCTTTTTTCATGTATAGTTGACAATTAAACATTATATATATTTATGGTGTACAGTGTAATGCTTTGATATCGTGGTACTTTGTGAAATGATTACATCAGACTAATTAATATATCCATGACCTCTGATTTTTTTTTTTTTTTTTGCTGTGAGAATGTTATAAGATCTATTCTCTTAGCAGTTATCACGTGTTAGTTATCATTAACCATAGTTATCATTGTGTTGTACAATAGATCTCTCAAACTTATTCATCCTAAATGAAACTTTGTACCTTTTGATCAACATCTCCCCAACCATCACCCCTTCCCTGTCCCCGCTGGAAACTCCCATTCTACTCTTCATCTATAAGTTCCACTTTTTGGGATTCTGCATGTAAATGAGAAGATGTGGCATTGGTCTTTCTGTGCCTGACTCATCTCACTTAACACAACGTCCTCCAAGTCCAATCATTTGGTTGCGGAGGAAGAATTTTCTTCTCTTTTAAGCGTGAATGGTATCTATTGTGTATATATACCACATTTTCTTTCTCCATTCTTCTGTTGATAGACACTTAGTTTGGTTCCATATTTTGGCTATTATGAAGAGTGCTGGAGTGAATATGGGAGTGCTGATGTCACTTTGACATATTGATTTCAATTCCTTTGGATGTATACCCAGTAGCGGGATTGCTGGGTCCTATGGTAGTTTTATTTATTTATTTATTTTTATTTTATTTTACTTTTTTGAGACAGAGTCTCACTCTGTTGCCCAGGCTGGAGTGCAATGGCATGATCTTGGCTCACTGCAACCTCGGTCTTCTGGTTCAAGCGATTCTCCTGCCTCAGCCTCCCAAGTAGCTGGGATTACAGGTGCCTGCCACCATGCCTGGCTAATTTTTGTATTATGATAGATAGGGTTTCGCCATGTTGGCCAGGCTGGTCTCAAACTCCTGGCCTTAAGTGATCCGCCCACCTCGGCCTTCCAAAGTGTGGGGATTACAGGCGTGAGCCATGACTCTTGGCCGCTAGTTTTATTTTTATATAGCTGTTGGCCATTTGTAAGTTTTATTTTGAGAAATCTCTGTTCACATCTTTTGCCTATTTTTTAATCAGATTATTTTCTTTTTTGCTATTGAGTTTTTGACTTCCTTATATGTTCTGGTTATTAATCCCTTGTCAGATGGATAGTTTGCAAATATTTTCTCCCATAGTTTAGGTCGCCTCTTCACTTTGTTTATTTTTTCCTTTGCCATGCAGAAACGTTTTCTCTTGATATAATTCCATTTGTCTATTTTTGCTTTTGTTGCCTGTGATTTTGAGATCTTACCCAAAAGTTCTTTGCCGAGACTAATGTTCTAAACATTTTCCAGTGTGTTCTTATGGTGGTTTCAGAGTTTTGGGCCTTAAATTTAAGTCTTTAATCCAATTTGATATGATTTTTGTATTTGGTGTGAGATAAGATCCAATTTCATTCTTCTGCATGTGGATATCCAGTTCTCCCAAGTGCGTTTGTTGAAGAGTATCCTTTCTTCATTGTGTGTTTTTGGCATCTTTGTTGAAGATCAGTTGACCGTAAATACAAAGATTTATTTTTGGGCTCTTTATTCCATTCCATTGGTCTGTGTGTGTGTGTTTTTATGCCAGTACCATGCAGTCAACAACCCTCTTTAAATAGAAATTGTTATTATCTTTTTTATATATACATAAAAGGAAACTGAAACATACTGAGGACTTTCCTCAGCTTAAACAGCTGATGATGTCGCAGAAGCTCAGTGAATCCAGGTTGTACCATGTTGCCTTTTATATAAAATGCGTGCATATCTTTCTCATCAGAAGCAGGAACCAGGCAAAAAGAGAACAACCCAAGGGTCTAGGCTTGAAAAGAAAATCAAAGTTGATTCTGGGAGGGACTGAAACATTCCCACAGTCTTAGGGACAGGCCTAGACCGTGTTAAGCTACGGATGAAATACTGATTATCAAGGGTCAGGCCACAACATGGAACCGGGCTGAATAAAGAAACTGGTACCTGGGTCTGAAGGCTGTGGCAAGTAAGACAGCCTGTGGCCATTCTCCAGCTTCATCAAAAACAGAAATCTGTGCTCCATAACACTTTTCTACTGCACGCTCAGATCTTCTTCCTCCCACACTGGCACTCTCCACCCTGCTTCTCTGTAAGATATTTTCCTCTAACTATGGAACGTTTGACTTGACTTTCCTTAAAGTACACTTTTTCTTACCCTTGCAACTTTTCAAGTTACCATTCTGTATTTTGTCTTCTCCTGATCCCAAAATTCTTCTCTCTCTTTTTTCCTTTTTTTTTTCTTTTTTGAGATGGAGTCTCTGTTGCCAGGCTGGAGTGCAGTGGTGCAATCTCGGCTCACTGCAACCTCCGCCTTCCGGATTTAAGCGATTCTCCTGCCTCAGCCTCCTGAGTAGCCCGGACTACAGGCACACACCACCACACCCAGCTAATTTTTTTGTATTTTTAGTAGAGTCGGGGTTTCACCATGTTGGCCAGGATGGTCTCGATCTCTTGACCTCAGGCGATCCACCCTCCTTGGCCTCCCAAATTGCTGGGATTACAGGTGTGAGATACCATGCCCGGCAGACTTTGAGGGGATTTTTAAGATTATCTAATGGAGGCCTCTTATTTTATATTTGAGGATCCTGGAATCTGAAAAGGTTGAATGCCACACCCAAAGCTGCAAAACTCTAAGCCTGGATCTTCTGACTCCATGTCTAAGTTTCTATGTAGACTCCTGCTAAGTCACTGCCTGGAGATGACCTGGCCTCTTTATTCACTCTTGTTGTTTGCAGCGGCATTTACGGCATTTATGGCATCAAGTATTAGTAGAAACAGATCTCAAGTGTCAAACCCCCTCCCAAGTGCTACATATTCATTTCTGGCCCTCTTTTAGACATTTCTACAAAGAATATCCATCAGGCACCTCTAATGTATGATTTGGAGATTGGAACCCATCACCTTTCTCCAAAATATTCCACTCTTCCTACTTTTCCTATATGCATTGATTTCATCACAGTGTTCCAAGGAGAAGCAAGGATTCAGACTTGAATCCTTCTGAATGTTTGCAAAGATAACTTCCCTCTTTACGTGCAGCTTATAAGTCCTATTGAATTTTCCTAAACTGCACCACATTAATTACTTGCCACCTGTTCTCACTACTACCTCCTTGATCCAGGTCTTTCCCATCATCTCCCCCTTACAAGGCTCCAATAGCCTCTAACTTGTTCCCTGCTTTCAGTCTCTTTTGGATTTTACGGTTCTGTAACAAGACCTACAATTTTACCTCTACGTAACTTTTGATTCCATCTCCCTTTCCCCGCTCTGTCATGTCACTGTAGCCACATCAGCCTGCTTGTGGTTCTTTGGATGTGACTCCATTGTCCTTCCTCTAGGTTTCTGTGGAAACCACACTTCCAAATTTATTCTCCCTAGCTTGGCTGTAGCTGTCCTAAAAATATTAGGCCTGAAGTCCTCAGGAAAATATGGTCGTCCCTCAGTATCCAACGGGTATTGGCTCCAGGACCTCTAGTGGATACCAAAATCACAGGATGCTCAAGTCTCTTGTATAAAACAGCACAGTATTTACATATAACCTATGCATATCCTCCCATGAAATTTAAATCATCTCTAGATTACTTATAATACCTAATGCAGTGCCTACGCATCACTTCATTTGAGTGGATTCAACATAGTACTGAGCATGAGGCAAATTCAAGTTTTGCTTTTTGGAACTTTGTGGATTTTTTTTTCTGGAATATTTTTGATGCGAGATTAGTTAAATTTACGGATGTGGAACCCACAGATACAGAGGGCTGACTGTACATCTTTTTCAATCCCCATGCTCCTTTAGTATGTTATTCTCACATCTATTATAACATTTACCATACTTATCTGCCTTTAAATAAATTATGTAAATAACTCTCCTTGTCCTTTAGATTTTGAGCTTCTCATCAGAAGCCACCAATTATTTATTTCTCCATACGCCTCGTAGACTTTACACCTTGTAGAAACTCACTAAATGGAATGATGCTTTAGGTACCTGTGCAGGCAGAGATTTTTATGTTTTATTCACTGATCTATCCCAAGGGCCTGCTTGGCACATAATAGACTTTCATTAAGTATTTGTTGTTGACTGAGTTCCTTGTTACTGTTCCCTTTGGAGGAGAAAAAGAAACATGAGTTTTAGCAGTCTTCAATGTACCTTGATGATGACAAAATAGTTTATCCATTAGTGAACAGTAAGCAGTTCCTGATGACTTATATGCAGAACATACTAGAATTTCTCTGACTGAGATTCAGAACTTCCCTTGCCTGGAGCATTGTTTTTGTAGATACAATGGTTACACTGGTGACCCTCACATTTTGAGAGGGGTAGTCTTTTGGATCTCCTGGAAATTATGGTTCCTTTCACCAGCTAATTTCTAGTGGCCAGTAGTCATTATTGGTTGATCATCAGATGCCACAAGTAGCAAGCTCTCTTGAAGGTTTTTGTAACCACTTGGAAAGCTTTCAATCACAGGGACTTGGAGGGGTGATCATGTGTGGCCCAGGATCGTATACATCATAATCATATGGGATGTCTGCTAAAGATTCAACCTTGGGGATTGAAAGCAGACCAGCTGAATAAAAATGGGGACAGGGTCTGTCAATCTGCATTCTAAACACTGTACCTTAGATAGTACTTCTGCTTGCTAAATTTTAAGATCCAACATTTCAGAAGGAAGGAGGGGGAGAGAGAGAGGGAGGGAGGGAGGGAGAGGGAGGGGGAGAGAGAGAGAGAGAGAGAGAGAGAGAGAGAGAGAGATACCTGGCTCGGTGGCTCACGCCTGTAATCCCAGCACTTTGGGAGGCCAAGGTGGGCGAATCACGAGATCGAGACCATCCTGGCTAACACAGTGAAACCCCGTCTCTACCAAAAATACAAAAAAATTAGCCAGGCGTGGTGGTGGGCACCTGTAGTCCCAGCTACTCGGGAGGCTGAGGCAGGAGAATGGCGTGAACCCAGGAGGCAGAGCTTGCAGTGAGCCGAGATCGCACCACTGCACTCCAGCCTGGGTGACAGAGCGAGACTCTGTCTCAAAAAAAAAGAAAGGAGAGAGAAGAAAGAAAGGAAGGAAGGAAGGAAGAAAGAAAGAGAAAGAGAAAGAAAGAAAGAAAGAAAGAAAGAAAGAAAGAAAGAAAGAAAGAAAGAAAGAAAGAAAAAGAAAGAAAGAAAGAAAGAAAGAAAGAAAGAAAGAAAGAAAGAAAGAAAGAAAGAAAAAGAAAGAAAGAAAGGAACATTTATTTTTTTCTGAGTTAGATTAATAGCATGGATTGGCAAGGAGTACATTATCTCAGGTCATTCTCTCTGGTAAGATGAGTCGTATTCAACTTGAGATGTTTCTCAGGCTTTGCAAAGGGTGGAGTGCTCTTTCCCACTGAAATATAAACACAATAGAGCAAGAACTCAGATGTCCGCTGGAAAATTAAGTTGAAACCGCTTCCATTAAATGTATCATGCTATATCTAAATATATATATATATATATATATATATATATATATATATGGAAAATATGGTTAACAATGTTCACAGGGTACTATAAAAACAGAAAGTGTTATCTCAAATATACGCAGTTCTTAACTTTTTTTGTTTTTCTCTTGAGTTCTATCAGGGAGCTGACTATCAAAAACAGACCATATTTTTGCATGGGTATAATGCTATGTTTAGGGGTTACATTTCTGAGCAAGTAATCATGTATATTATTTATATAAACAGCAGGATGTCAAAAAAGCAAAGACAACATAGTCTAGAACTGCTGTCTAAGTGCAAAATAGTTTTATTTTCGTGAACAGTCTAAAAAATGGACAGAGTTGGTTTTGCCCATCCGTTAGGGGACATTTTATAAAGGTCTTCTATAAATAAGTAAATTTCAAAAATCATACAACTAATACTTTTTCATGAATTTAATGTAAAGTAGTACATTAGGTTAAGAAAACAAAATTAATAATCACTCTGTTTGTCAGAAGTTTAGAAATTCCTGTGGTAGCAAAACCCTCGAGCCAGGTGACCCACACACAATCTCTTCTATTTCCAACCATTCCACTGGTAGTTTACTTGCTAGTTACGTTTTTTTAAGTTCCTGAATTGTGTCAGGCAGGGTTCTAAGTGCTGGGGATGAAAAGATGAATAAGCAGGACAAGACGCTGCCTTTGTGGGTTTACGTCTTTGTGAAAATCCACAGGAGCTGGACCAGTACTTGTAAGGGAATTTCTAAACAAGCCTGATTCTACTCGGTGTCAAGATTAGAATAGATGGGTGTAGTAGGACAGTTTGGCCAATTAGACTTGAGGTCTTCTCTAGGCTTCACTGTTTCCCCACCTCTTAAAGCTGGGGCTTCAATTACATTTTTCTTTAAAAAAAAAAATTGTTCTTTTAGAAAAATTAAACTACCAATACTGATTTTTGCCAGTAGATGGCAGACAACTGCATTTGTGTGTCCAATGAGCGGGTCAAGTTTTTAAAGGTTCAAAATGCACCTCTTGATGTGAAAAAAAAATGTTGTTACTTTCATATGAGTGACAGAAGTTGCTGTTATGTTCCGTGGACTGTATGTTTTAAATATGACCATTCTTTTACTCCTTGGCATTTGGTTTTCAATTTGGCTATCTGCTCTATTTATAGAGGGCAAGACGGATTTTTTTTTTCTTTTGAGACGGAGTATCACTCTATCATCAGGCTGGAGTGTAGTGCCGCGATCTCAGCTCACTGCAATCACTGCAACCTCCGCCTCCCGGGTTGAAGTGATTCTCCTGCCTCAGCCTCCCGAGTAGCTGGGACTACAGGCACCTGCCACCATGTCTGGCTAATTTTTGTATTTTTAGTTGAGAAGGGGTTTCACCATGTTGGCCAGGCTGATCTCGAACTCCTGACCTCATGATCTACTCGCCTAGGCCTCCCAAAGTGCTGGGATTACAGGCGTGAGCCACCGTGCCTGGCTGAAGTTCTTTTGAAGGTCACATGTATTTTGTAAATTAACAGAGACTCCCTTGGTATTTTGACTAGTGTTCTGTTTATGTGAAAAAGTTCAAATAGGCTTTGCAAAATGAGATAGAGATGAATGCCCTGGTGGCTCCAGGAAGTATGCAGTTTTTTCAAATATGCGAGAAACAAACGCTTTATTTTCCAGTGATGACAGAAGAAACAAAGAAATTTGATACTCTCAGCCTGACTCCTTCCCTTGATCCACCATCAGCTATAGGAGTCCAAAGAAAATGAACTATGAACCAAAGTTAAATCCAACAAGTCACATGCACAGAACAAGATTAACATCACCATTAACATCGCCATTACTGAAGCGAAAGCTGGCCCAAACCCCACTACTGAGTAGCCCATCCTCATTCCAGCAAAGAAATAACTAACTCAGTAAGTCTTTTGGAAGACTCAGGGTCAGGGTGCCATATTGTATGTTTTCCAAGTCCAAACCAGACTAAGCTATAAAGAAGTAATGCCCACTGACCCTTTACATTTCTGCAAAGCCTCTCTCAATTACAGATGCTTTTATTGACTTCCAAGGTAGCTTGGCCAAGATCATTATAAGGCAGCTAGGTTCAGGAGGGGATAAAAAAATTGTGTAGCAAAGTCTTGACCCTAGATGTGTGTTTATAATCTACAAATATGTTAACTTGTAAAATAGAGTTGTCTGAGCCAAGTTGTTCTTGGGAATCAGAGGGTGAAGAAGCCAAATCTTTTTGGAGAGATACCAGGCATTTCTTCTTTTAAGGGATTTCACTTGAGAGATACTTTAAAGGACCAGTAAGGTCTAAATAGAGAAGAAGATCCAGGCAAAACTAACCTTACAAGTGAAAAACTTCCTGCTGTTTTCTTTTTTTGTTGTTGTCTCTATCAAGAACTTTCTGCCTCAGAGCCTTTACACTTACTATTATATCTGTTTGAAATGATCTTTTTCCAGAAGTCTATATAGCTTGCTTTTTCACTTCTGTTAGAGCTGTCCTCAAATGCCATCCGATCAGGCTGCGTTTTGTGATCACTTCCTCTAAGTGGCATGCGTCACTTTCATCATTCACCATCTTCTGAATCTGCTGTCCTTTTCTTCATAGCATCTGTCACTGCCTGACAAAATATATATTTATTTTTTCACTCACTGTCTGTTAACGCCCACTACAATATGAGCTCTATGAGACCAATGACTATAAATATATATATATAGAGAGAGAGAGAGAGAGAGAGAGCGCTAAATTTCCAGTTTCTAGAACGCTATCTGTCTCAGGAGGGTGGGCTCTTAATATATGCTAGCAGAATGAATGCTCAATCCCACTTTTATTTTTCTTATTGCAGAAAGGAAAACTGACAAACCCACCCTTATATTATTTCCCTCCAGGGCTTTTTCTTTTGCATATTTATATTGAAATCACCATTAATGCTGTCACTCACAATAAATTATAGCGTGGTACACCTGAAGAACAATGAACTAAATTAGCACATTCGATCAGATTTCCATGAATATGCCCAGCTTTGTTTCCATTAATGTTATTTTTCTATTAGAAGTAGATGAGAGAGAACCAACTTGTTAGTTTCTAATTAAAAAAAATTAATGTAAATGCTCATTGACTTAATTATGAGCATATACATTAAAAAGGAAGTAAAGAAATTCCTTATGACCATAAAGTGGAAGAGGAAGATGGAGAAGGGCTTTTCTGAATTTGGAATTCTAAAGCATACCTTAGGAAATCTGCAACTGAGTACCTACAAGGTACCACTATGTAAAATGTGATAGGCAATTGATATGGTTTGCCTGTGTCTCCACTCAAATCTCATCTTGAACTATATTTCCCATAATCCCCATGTGTGGTGAGAGGGACCTGGTGGGAGGTAACTGACTCATGGGGGTGGTTACCTCCATGCTGTTCTCGTAATAGTGAGTGAGTTCTCACGAGATCTGATGGTTTTTTAAGCGGCTTTCCCCGACTTCATTCTGCACGTCTCCTTGCTGCTGCCGTGTGAGGACAGACGTATTTGCAATCCCCTTATGCCATAATTGTAAGTTTCCTGAGGCCTCCTCAACCCTTTGGAATTGTGAGTCAATTAAACCTCTCTCCTTGGAGATCGAGACCATCCTAGCTAACACGGTGAAACCCCGTCTCTACTAAAAAAATACAAAAGAATTAGCCGGGCATGGTGGCGGGCGCCTTTAGTCCCAGCTGCTGGGAAGGCTGAGGCAGGAGAATAGCGTGAACCCGGGAGGCGGAGCTTGCAGTGAGCCAAGATGGCGCCACTGCACTCCAGCCTGGGCAACAGAGAGAGACTCCGTCAAAAAAAAAAAAAAAAAAAAAAACTCTCTCCTTTATAAATTACCCAGTCTTGGGTATGTCCTTATAGCAGCGTGAGAACGGACTAATACAGCAATCAAGACTATGTTGGCCCAGGATGCTCTTTTAAAAAATTATTTCTTTAATAGATGGGGTCTCAATCTGCTGCCCAGGCTGGAGTAAAGTGGCACAATCACGGCTCAGTGCAGCCTGACCGCTCAGACTCCCAAGTAGTTGGGACTACAGGTGCACAACAGCGTGGCTGGCTAGATTTTTTTTTTTTTTCAGACATGGGGTCTCACTGTGTTACCCAGGCTGGTCCTAAACTCCTGGACTCAAGCAGTCCTCCCGCTGCAGCCTCCCAAAATGCTAGGTTTATAGGCGTGACCTACTATGCCCGGCCTCCAGAATGCTCTTGATGTGCCACAAGACACTTCACTTTTTACATTACTCGGCTGGTCTCCAGAATATGATTTCTAGTTTTTCAGTTATTCTGAAGCACTTTAACATAACTAAATATTATATTCTGTCAGATTTTTCACATTAAAATCTAAGTCTTCAAATATTGTTAAACATGCTTGAAGATACTGTATTCTTTTATTTTCTTTTATTTTTTCATTCATCAGATATTTATTGAGCAGCTGCCAAGGCCAGGATGTTGCCCTGGAGTTATCCTCTTGGAGCTTGGGGCTTGCTGGGACTTAAGAAGACCAGCTAATTTTTATTGCTGTTGAGAAGTAGCTTTAAACATATTATGATACAATACGTAATCTGGTTTTCAGGATGCTGATGTGGGCATAATGGTGAGAAGATCAATATCCCTAATACTGTAAATTGTATTCTGAAGTTGGTTGTGTAGAAGATACTCACTGGAGACATTGTTTCTTTGCAATCTAGGACCACCTAATCCTTGTTGCACCTGCAAGTTTATGAACTATTTGGACAGGGCGCGGGATCTCAGTTTGCTTGAATTTTCCCCATCTCACGTGTCTATGTGAAAACCTTTGGGCTCTGAATAGAATCAGAAAACAATGCTTACATGGGTGTGACTTTTAAGCAGATATTTAAAAAATTTTTGGGGCTATTTTACTAGGACCACATGGAAGTTTGTGATGAAGTAAAATTTGGGCTTGTCATGAGCTTTAGTTACTGATCTCTAAAAGATAGCGGAATGTGCACTTTGGGAGGCCGAGGTGGGCGGATCACGAGGTCAGGAGATCGAGACCTTCCTGGCTAACATGGTGAAACCCCGTCTCTACTAAAAATACAAAAAATTACCCGGGCGTGGTTGCGGGCGCCTGTAGTCCCAGCTACTCTCGAGGCTGAGGCAGAAGAATCACTTGAACTGGGAGGCGGAGGTTGCAGTGAGCCTAGATCGCGCCACTGCACTCCAGCCTGGGTGACAGAGCGAGACTCCGTCTCAACAAAAACAAACAAAAAAAAGATAGCAGAATGCTTGGGCTTGGTAACCAGGAATTCAGTGAATACAGAATTTCTTAAAACAAAATCTATGCTCTGGATACTAGAGCAGTCTCGATTTAAAGTTATCTAGTGTTCTTTCTTTACTATCATTTTAAGAAGCATTTTAGTGTATGGTATTGAGATGTCTGCTACCAATTTTTAAAATGGTTTTCAGTCATGTAGTGCTCTCATGCTCCCAGAACTGAGAGATTCTTCTAAATTTTTATCAATTTACAGTCCACAGTTCTCCAACCATAATTTTTCCTCTTAAGTTTTCCTTCAATCCAGTGTTTCTCAATGGGATTTTTCTCATTATTACCCCACTAAGGGGCCTTCTTCTCCTAAGCAGCTTTCCGCCTCATGAAATTTTAATACCATACATATACTTTATATATATACTTTAGATACTGTGTGTCTTTTTTAGAATGTGGCCGCCTAGAGAGTCAGAAACCATTGCAAAATCCAAAATGTTTTTCACCCTCTAAGAACCCATTTTCAAGGCCTAGAGGGCTGATACCATCTCTGTAAAATGCACACATCAGTCATTTCCCAGGGCAGAAGACACATCCTGGTGTCAGGGTGTTCTGGCCACGGCGAGACAGCAGTGATCTCACGGTCTGTCACATCTCATAGTCTTTTACCTCCCGTATGGATTCCTCTCTGGAGGGGTTCTGCCCCGTGCCTTTGGCATGCAGTGTCCCTTCTACACCCCCTTCCTCCAGCACCATCTTTCTGTTAAGATCCGCTGACCCCTCTGGACCTAGCTCCTGCATTGACTCATCCGCTTTCTCTAAAGGATTTCCATTAAGACTTCTACCACACTGCCCCTTCATGCTTAGTTTCCAAGCGGTTGAAAAGATCAATATATTTTTCTGAGGCAAAATAAGAAATTCTGAGCACGATTTCATTTATCTTCCAGCTTCTCACTGTTTTTTTCAGCCTCACTGCTGTGGGCGTCCTTAAATGTGCTTTGTTCCAACTGGGAAACCTGCCTCTTTTCACCACTGAAGTATGGTTGAGACAAAGCACTGCCTAGATATGTTCACTCTATTTTGTTTTTAAATATGATTTACACAGTTGTTGCATTCCTGTGTCACTAACGAGTTTTTAAGCTTTTGTAATGCTTTAGTGTTGGCTCACACAATCATTAGGTTTGAAGAAGGAAGGAAAGGGAAGAAATAAAATGTATTGAACTCTCCTATGGGACAGAAACAGTGGCAGGTGACTTCACTTTTAGAGATTCAAAAATGACTTGTGGGGCCTGCAACATGTCAGGATTTTGCTTGGCCTCCTGTCTGGGTTAGGTGGCCTGGATCTGTGCTCTTAAAGCATTGTGCCTTTCACTTTTAAAATGTTTTGTTTTACTTAACATGTAGCTTATTTGGGCAGCAAACATAAGTAAGTTAGATACAGTTTCTAACTGGCAGACCTACACGAAAGAAAAACAAATAAGAAATAAGTTGTGGACCGGGCGTGGTGGCTCATGCCTGTAATCCCAGCACTTTGGGAGGCCGAGGTGGGTGGATCATGAGGTCAGGAGTTCAAGACCAGCCTGGCCAACATGGTGAAACCCCATCTTTACTAAAAATACAAAAATTAGCTGGGCCTGGTGGCATGCACATACAATCCCAGCTACTCAGGAGGCTGAGGCAGGACAATCGCTTGAACCCGGGAGGCAGAGGTTGCAGTGAGCCAAGATCGCCCCATTGCAGTCCAGCCTGGGCGACAGAGCCTCTGTCTCAAAAAAAAAAAAAAAAAAAAAAAAAAAAAAGCTGGGATTGGACTCTAATTGTTATTTTTTACATTTAATATTAATTTTATGTCATTTGGAAAGTAACGTAATTCTCAAGGCTTGTGATAAAATAATAGCAGTCCTCAGTGCACGATCCCCAATTTCTACTCCTGAGAGGCAACCACATTCAGATTCTTAGGCTGTTTTTTCTGTTATTTACTTTCATATTTCTAAATAGCAGGCATAGACTACTGTGTTTTGCTTTTTGGCTTTTAGAAGTTATTTCCTACTCTAGAAAATTTTAGCCCTCTTATAAATCTCTTTCTTTATACTTCCAAGATAATCATATAAAAATTTTGGTTATATTAATATTTAATATTAATATGTTTTGACTGTATATTACTGCTGAATTACTTAGTGAACTATGATATTATCTTTTTGTATTATTTTTTGGTTTTATTGAATTAATACTTACTTGTCTCAGGTCCTCCCTCCCTCCTTCCCACTCTTTTTCTCCCCTTTCTTTTTCTTTTTTTTTTGTCGTTCTCCTTCATTTTCTCTCTTCCTTCCTCTCTCACTTTCTCACCCTTCTTTCCTCCCTTCCTTTCTTCTTCCTTCCTTCCTCCCTCCCTCCCTCTTTTCCTCCAGGAGTCATCTATCCTTCTGTTCCAGTCAGCACTGGTTCCTCCAGTCAGCACTGTTCCTCTCCAGGCCTGCCGTATAGCGATAGTCTTGGGGTTTCCTTCACTCTACTCATCCCCCCGCCACCATTGTCCCTTTTCTCCAGAGTTCCTCAGTCTCATTATTTGTGGAGTAAGAACAATTGTTCAGGTACGTGCCTCTGCTGGTTATCAGGAAGATGAAATGAGTATATGTGTGCACAAATAACTCAGAACATAGCAAGCACTCCCAAAACAGTCTCACTGCTGCAGTATATCCTGCTTTTTTTGCTGTGAATATTTTTCTTATCTTGTCTCGTAGGAATGGTTTTATAGGATAAATGAGTAGAATAAGAGATTGCTGTAGAACATGTTAAGAGCTTCATTGGTAATTATATAATCATAATTATTAGATTATTATTAATGGTCCACCAGAACACAGACTTATTTCAAGATAAATCAGACTTTGGGAGGTCGAGGCGGGCAGATTACGAGGTCAAGAGATGGAGACCAGCCTGGCCAACATGGTGAAACCCGTCTCTACTAAAAATACAAAAATTAGCTGGGCATGGTGGCGCACATCTATAATCCCAGCTACTCGGGAGGCTGAGGCAAGAGAATTGCTTGAACCCGGGAGGTGGAGGTTACAGTGAGCCGAGATCCCGTCACTCCATTCCAGCCTGGTGACAGAGCGAGACTCCATGTCAAAAAACAAAAACAAAAATGAAAAAAAAAAGATAAATCAGAGCAGATATCAGCTCAAAGAGAGAAGGATGCTCCCTTTAAGTCTAACCAAGCCTTACTGGTTTCCACTGCTGTTCACACCTTCCACCCTTTGGCCCAACAAGGCAAGCTCCTTTTCCATGAAGGTGGGAAGTGAATCATAATCTGGATTCAAATCATGTATTGGTGCCATTTATTTATTTATTTATTTATTGAGACCGAGTCTCACTCTGTCGCCCAGGCTGGAGTGCAGTGGTGGGATCTTAGCTCGCTGCAACCTCTGCCTCCCGGATTCATGAGATTCTCCTGCCTCAGCCTCCCACGTAGCTGGGATTACAGGCACCCGCCATTCCACCCGGCTAATTTTGTATTTTTGTAGAGATGAGGTTTCTCCATGTTGGCCAGGCTGGTCTTGAACTCCTGACATCAAGTGTTCTGACCCCCTCAGCCTCCTAAATTGCTGGGATTACAGGCGTGAGCCACCACACCTGGCCACCTTTTAGTAGGGTTCTACATTTTGTGAGCTACAATCAATGTTATTTTGGACAAAACTATGGGACACAAAATAATGAGTGGCTATGTGGAAACGAAGAACTCACTTATCTGGATTATTTAGTTAATTAATTAAATGGAAAGGCTCAAGATCAGATGGATTTAGATGTTTTTGAAAAGTTAGCATAGTTCTGCGGTGTGGAGAAAGTTAGCATAGTTCTGCAGTGTAGTTCTGCGGTGTGCACATATGTGCACGTTTTTTTAAACAAACAGCTAAATGTCAGTTTGTTTTTCATTGTGATTGTAAATGTTCGCTTTGGTTTTAAAAATCAGATTGATGATATAATTTTAAATCATTTGTAAGATATCGAAATAACACAAACCCAAGCATGAGGTGTTTGTTGAAGAGAAACCAGGGTTCCTGATGGAAAGAATTTGAGTTTTAGACTTCGCTAGGCCCTTGTCGTTTGTAAAGCTTCCGTGGTGGTTTTATGAGCAATTTCTGTATTGCCAGTAGAAGCAGGTGCCGTCTCTCCAGCTAAAAATCTAAATGTGTTTGTGTCTGAATGTTGGGGCTCTGGCGTGCCTTGTAAGTGTTCTGCTTTTTTGTTTCATCTGCTCCTTTGCTATCTTTCTATTCACAATTAATTTGGTATTGAACACATATGCTTTGATAACAGGTAACTGCTTGTCTTTGACATAAATGAAAAGAATAATTCTACACTGAGTGACACAAATGGCCTACTTAAAAAAAAGTTGTTAATCTCTTCCTCAGTTTGGTTTCAATAAACCTAAGTAATTTTGAATATTCATTTAGGTTGTGTCTACCTAAGGCACATGTTTACAGCAGTTTGATATTATTTGGAACAAACCATCCTCCAGCCTTTTCAATTTGTCTGCGCTGTGTGACATTAAACAAATATCAGCCTCTCACTTGTGTTTGTCTCAAAGCAGGTAGTAGAAAAGCTGGAACAGAACAAAATATTTTCAATCGGGTAATGTACACTTTGAAAAGCTAGTCTAGCATAGGCAGCATGCCAGATTTCATATACTGCCTTCCATTAAATTCAGCTGAGATTAAGGAGGATCGATTCAATGGAGAGTGTAGAAATTGAATATGCATTTTATGCAAAGCGTGCTGGTCAGTTTCTTAGGAGCTTCTGGCCTTAAGGAACACGTGGTGAGTAGTGAGATTCTAGTTTGTGAAAAACCACAGTTTGACTCTTTGATACAGAATAATTTATTGGTAAAAATACCAATATTAGCATTTACAAAAATTTTTGTTTGCTTACTCTGTGTATTCTAAGTACTTCTCTTGTAATATTTCATTTAATCCTAAAATAATATTAAGGAGTTAATATTTAATGTATGAGTTTCATAGATGAGTATAATGTTTAATAGCTGAATATAATGAACTGCAAACAGGTTAAATAATTTGTCCAAAGCAGCTTTCAAACAAATGCATGTCTGATTCTCACTCTGGTTTCAGTTTCTGGAGTAAAGTAACAAACAAATCACATAGACAAAATACAAAGCAAAAAAAGTCTAAGTTTTTTTATACATGATACTTAAAAATATTCCAACCTGGTGCGGTGGCTCATGCCAGCACTTTGGGAGGCCAAGGCAGGAGGATCACCTGAGGTCAGGAGTTTGAGACCAGCCTGGCCAACATGGTGAAACTCCGTCTCTACTAAAAATGCAAAAATTAGCCAGGCATGGTGGCACGTGCCTGTAATCTCAGCTACTCGGGAGGCTGAGGCAGGAGAATTGCTTGAGCCCAGGGGACGGAGGTTGCAGTGAGCTGAGACTGTGCCACTGTGCTCCAGCCTGGCCGACAGAGCAAGAATCTGTCTGAAAATAAATAAATAAATATTCCTTCTTCTCTGTTATATAAGAACTCATTAAATTAAGATAAATTAAGTCCAGAATAAAATATGAAAATAGGAAAATAAAGGGAACTTGAGGAAAATATAAAGTTGTAAACAAAGAAGAAACTCACATTCAGATAGGGAAAAATTTAACATAGCTAAAGGTGTATTTGTTTGTTCATTAGTATATTGCTGTGGCTCAACCAAGATAATAAATTTTAATTAGCAAATGAAGCTAGAGCAAGAAGGATATGTGGCTGTTTAAATAAGAACTGGAGAGGAGAAAAACATTTTTCAGTGTAGTCTTCTAACACAATTCTAATCATATGTCACTTCATTCATCCAAGTAGTATCATCTAGGCACTGAGGATAATGTTCTCTATGCAACTTGGATGCTGATTTAGTGGTCTTATGTAAATAATGCATTGTTGGTATAAAATATGACAGGCAGAAGTGCTTAATTTTAATGTTTGCCATAGATTTTCTTACTCGGTAAAAATTAAGGAAGAAAAGCAGACCCTGAATATACACATGGTAGCAGGACGCTGCTATGGGGCCTACCTTCTTTGATTATTCACTGTTCAGAGAAATAAAAGAGGCTCTTCAGAAACAGAATTAAGTATCGTGGGGAAGCCAAATTTGATCTGGATTTCAAAATCTATTTTAAAGAAATAAAATCTTAGAGACCATGCTTCATAAGATTTTCCAGTGGTCATAGGTTGATTTTTATTAAATAAAAGTTTTGTTTTTTGGACTACTTTTTATCAGGTTTGATCACTGATTTTCTCCTAACGTTTAGATTCAAACAAATGACCATATACTATCGATACAGGAACTAACCACGGGCATATGCAGTAAAGGATTTCAAACCCGCCCTTGATTGAAAGAGAGATTTTTCTCTACAGAACAATAATACTACTCTCGGTGGTAAAGAGTACAACTTCTGACAGATATTTTATCCGTTTTCTCTTGAGTATTACGGTTTGGAAGAATAATATTCAGTATTATGAACAAGAATGAAATATACTTTTATCTTCTTTCCAATGAAAACATACTGGTCTGGATTAATGACAGGTATCAGTAGCAATTGTGAATTGTTTTCTTCTTTTTGCTGCCAATTAATATTTTCTTTCTTTTCAGAAAATGATTTCAAGAACCACTAATGTTTATGTCAAGAGGAAAAGGTTTAAGTTAAAGAAGTGTCAGGTTTAACAAGGAATATGCTCCACATATTCTATGACTGGAAGGCTAGGAGACTTTCTGGAAGGGTTTATATATGTTTCTTCTCTCCAGTAGATTAGAAAGACATATAATTTGGAAGCCCAGATGCCTGCCAGCCAGTAAGCTACCTCAACCCTCTCAATAAGTATGAGGATGGATAGAAAAGGAAGATAAACTACCAAGGTAACAGGTAACACCATAGTTGGTGAGGATGGAAGTGGGAAAAACAGTAGGGAGGAACATGATAGCAAAGATGGCCTGTCAGTTTCATGGACTGAGTATTTAACAAGGGGATGAACTATAATGTCTTGAGAGTTTTGGGATCCATTTGTAGGATGGAAAAAAAGGCCTGAAAAATGACAGCATCCCCTGGTATCAGAGGCCACTGAACAACAGACTGAGTAGGTGATTTTGCAGTCAGCCTTACCATCTGCTTCTGAGTTGAGTGAAGGAAGATGCATGTGAACTTTTCATCATCCTTCTAAGATGTGAAGAAAACAATTTCAGCTGTGAATATGCGTTGCTCACACATGCTGTTTTCAAAAGGAAAAATGTGTGAATGGAGAAAAATTTTATGAAATGAAATTCATAGACTTCATGGTAGCATAAGAATATACTACAGTATATTTTAGAACAAGTGGTCTGCACTTCTGGGTAAATTCTGAGCTTGTTCCATTTGGTTGTCTAAAGAGTTATTTCTACATGCCCTTCTGAATCACCAGATCTGCAGGACAGAATTACATCTTTAGTTTCAGTAGATTGTCATAGAAGCTGAGGAACGGTTAACTTCGTTATGAACAATAAATCATAAGTGTGTGGTGAAATGTTTATTTTCCTAGACAGTCACCATAAATTATGTTTTAAAGCCAATATGTCAGATTGAGAAAATAGGTAAGATTAATTTGTTTTTTTTTTTTTTTTTGCTTTTTCTCTTAATTTTGCACCTACATATGTATACGGATTTAGAGTATGATTAGGTGTTCAGATTATTCTTAACTATTTAAAGACATCTCTTTCAAGTATTCTTAATTTAAAATTTTAGAAATTAACAAGAAATTAATTCTGAGTTACATAGGTTTCCCTCTTAACTAAAGACAATTTGAAAAGCAGCAAATCTTTAGCCCTGGACAAATGCAAGCAACGAAAGAAAAAATAATCCAGGTTATGAAACTTTTTGTGACTATTTGACAGCAGATAATCAGTTCTAACAGATTTTTTTCCTTGTCAATGGAATTTCTTATTTACCGTCACTAAACATTTGCTTCTGAATTAAAAACTGTGTGATAGGTTGCTATGTCTTGATAAGAAAGCTAAGTTTCAGATCGCTTAGACTGTAGTGCCGGGTCTTTTAACTCCATGTTTCGTAAATGTTTGCTAAAATGTATATACATTTAGAAGCTGAAGCAAAAATGCTACATTCACTTGCCGCAGTAGCAGGGCAGCGGGCCAGGCAGATGTGCAGATGAGCCCCCTGGGAGAGGACTACAGTCAGATAGCATGTGGCCTTCTGAAGACCCAGCACTGCTAAAACTGAGCCTGTCTTAAAAATACCAGAAAGAATGCTGACATTCTGCTGGCAGCTCATCTGTGTTTTTAAGAGCTGCTTAAAATCAAGATCAAGTTTTTAACATAACTTTTAGCAGTGCTTAGATGTTGCTTTGTGTGTGTGTGTGTGTGTGTATCTTTAAAAAATATTGCATGGGCAAACCAAAGATTTCTGAGGTTCAGATCTATCTAGAAAACAGTCATTTTTCAGTTTCTACATTAAGGGACCAACATCTGTGTATGTGGTATGTGTATGTGATACTGTGCATGCAAAGTTTCCCATTTCTTGGACTATAACCTATATCTTAGAAGCATTTTGTAATTTTAAGTCTATCAATATTCATGTTTTGGGGAGAAATTTTTTTAATAGTTTTCTTTTTCACTTCTAGCAAACATTTAAAAGATTTTAATTATTAACAACACAACACAGTTCTTTAAAGTCTGTTTGCTTCTTAGAAAATCAAAGGAACTAAACATTTCAATGCATTCTCTTTGCCCTCAAAGTGTTTCTTGGAAAAAATTTCTGTTGCTATTGATATTGCAGTGGGACAAAGTATAACTCCAGGGAAGGGAAACAGTGCCCAGGATAATCAGTCATTTGAATGGTTGGTTCCCTCATCTCTGCTTCACAGGACACTAATGCAGCAGCAGATGGCAAGCCATTCTTGGTGACCTCATTCTTTGAACAGGATGAGGGCCCACTTTGAGGAAAGACAAAATCTAGTGTGGAGTAAGCATGAGTGTGTCATTTGAAATAGACATTTAAAGACCTGGAGGATTTCAGATATCCCTGTTTCTAGATGAGGATGTGCTGAGACGCCCTGGTAGAACACATTTGGGAGTAAGGAAAGGGACAGATCCCAGTTCGTCTGAAACATAGGGTTAAAGTAGGAGGGAAGGAAGTCAAAGGCAATACTAATAGCCACATTCTAGTCTAAGGGTTCTCGTATTGCTTATCTCCATATATGTTTCTTTGTGAAGGCAGAAACATCTATTCCTTTTTTTTCTATCATTCATGCTATTGTCTCAATGAAATTTGCTGATTTGACTTGATCTGACTTTAGATGTCCAGCTATCAAGAGGGTTTTTATAAGTACAGTCTATTTATTATAGTCGTTTTATTACTAACAGGCCGACCCAGCCTTTTTTTTTTTTTTTTTAAACAGATTAACCTTTTTGGAAGAGTCACAGTGAATGTGTTACAGTTTTCTTATCTTTAATCATGTGTAGATATAACTTGTCTTGACATTTGGATTTTTCTTTTGGTTTGTGACAATATGTACAATTGGATCTAAGATTTGATGTCAGGAAGTCACAAGGGAAGAACATATAAGGTGCTTTAGTTCATCTTCCTGTTATTTTTAGGGATAATAGATAAAAGAGGGCTCAGACCGTGTATGAGCAAAGCTCTCAGACTTGGGAATTCTGTGGTCCATTTGTCTATATATTCCAGCATTCAGTAAAATGAAATGGTAACAATGCCCACAAGTACCTGTCAGGACATGAATGCGAAACAATGTATCATACATAAAGATCAAAATGAAAATACCTTCAGCCTTTTCCCTGTACATTTCACCATTCTTCATGGGCTTATAAGAGCTTCTCGAGGGAACCATCAAACTGAACAAGCACAACTGTGTGGTGCCAATATAAAACAATTTTATTTACACCTTTCTCTCATTGTCCCTTTATGTTATTTCAATGAGACTGATCGTTTCCCTGCCCCTGTCTGAAAATTCGGCAGTCCGCTGACTGTCTGGTCTTCCTATCATACAAACAGACTCTATTTAGTAATTAGGCTAATTAGCCCGCATAACGATGGTTTAAGACAAGGTCTTCCTTCCCTAGCTCAGGCCTGTTTAGAAGCTGGGCCTGTAGTTTGAGGAGTAGAGTAAGAAGGCTTCTCTTTTTGGAGACTTGAGCTCTCTCATTGAACCCCATCTGGTTTAGTGGTCGCTTTTCATCACCCAAAGCACTCTCTTTACTTACTTCTGTCTTCACACTCACCTGCTTTATTGTACTCAACTGTTTCTCCTCCTTATTTACAAGGATTTCATGTTTTCTTCATCCTTGCTCTCTCAGCCGCATGGTAGTGAGCACAGAGTTGTAGGCACCAGAGAGCGTACGCTGAATGAATAGACTTATCGCTGGAGTTCTCATACCCCTTGCAGAGTGTCTGAGAAAGTCGGATTCCCTGATTCCACCTAGGAAATTTGGATTCAGTAGATTTGGAAAGTTCCACAAGGAGGTCCTGATTCACAGCAGGGGTGAGAACCACTGAGCTAGATGTTCCTTGAGTTTTTGCAAACTTAAGAGTGTCAATAGTCTCTAATTAAGGAACATTATATTTTGACCTAAATATGTATTTCATAATAAGAAAGAGTAGGGGGTTTCTCCAGTTTTTGCTCATTCTGGGTAAGATTATTAAAAATACCCTCTATCTTTTATGATAGATAGGTATTGATTTCAGTATAAATCCTTTGGGAGAACTATGCCTGCTTTCCCAGTTATTCTGTTTTAATAAGTTTTATGCTGATGGTTAGAAGTTTAAATGTATCTTTTACCTCAGTATATTTTTATTTTTAAGGAAAGAAAAGAAAATGAAACTTCTATAAATATACCATAATATTAAAACAATGAAACCACAGCACTGTGATGTAAATTATTCCGTCTCACATTTAACCTGTAGGTGTGCTGGTCATTTCATAACTTATCAAATCTCTTACAAGTGATTCTCCTTAAGAAATTTTGTTTTTGAGGGAGAAAAAGGCAAAAAGAGGCTATAAAGATTGCATAAGACCTTTAAAATAGATGGTTTACTAAGTACACGTATTATTTTAAAAAGAGGAAATAAACAATGATATATCCAAATTTAATATTTTTTAAGGGTTGACCCAACCTTTCTTTCATTATTCAACAGATATTTATTGTGCATTTAAAAGGCATACCATACATTGGTTTGTCATAAAATGACACAGTTCTGCCGTATGTTCACAATGCTTGTTAAAAAATTCTTTCTGATTTTAGCACTTTTTAACTTTCAAGTTGAGTAAGCAGGTATCTTGGAAACATGGCATCATTATTGATAAGTAGTGGCCTCATATACCCATTTTATTTTTTGATTCCCTTGTATGAAATGCCACAGTGCTTTCAGCTCTTTATATAGAGGCACTGACCTTTCCATTAGAGTAAGATGACTTGGAAGTATGAATGTGGCTTTGTTTTTATAAGGTTTACTGTGTTTTTTGTTAATAAATATTTATCACATAATTACACTTAAACATTAAATCCCCCTTTAAAATGCCCTGCACCTGATGTTTGTTTTTAAAACTATATTTATGTGCTGATTTATATATGTTGTGTATGTGTGGCTTACTGTTTTTAAAAATAACTTCTTTGCTCTCTAAAGATATTAACTGATCTATCATTCTTAAATTGACCTTTATTACATGGTTTAGGAAATCAGGTGTTCTTAACCTTTTACTCAGATATTCCAACCATCAGGGTGAAGCTTACGCTGTGGAATGCTTCATCTCTACTGTATTCCTCATCTCTCTATTTCTCTATATTAGGCTAGTTTTACAGTCTTTACTCCTCGTTGCCAAACCACACCATACTGATGCCAGATTTTTTTTTTTACTAGGCTAAATAATATGCTTAATTCTTTTCTTTTCACTTGTTAAGAATGCAGGTTGTAATTTATTTTACACTGTAGAATGTGCAAAATTCAATAATTGTAAGGCTCTCAGATGCAATTATGCTCTTTAGATGATGTCACCATAAAGCTATAACACAGATAACATTACAGGAAAATGAGGGCCATGGGACCTGTTAGCTGAGAGATAATAAATGATGCAAGAGACAGCTTACCTATTATGGCAAGAAAAAGGGAAAGTTTATCTTTCTTTTATATTTTACCGAATGCTTTTACTTCATGCAATAACAGGCAGTAATTTCAATAATACTACCATAAAGAAGCCTTGAGATTCCAATATTTGAGCATAGGCTACATTTTTTCTGTTGCAGACTTTAGCTGAGGGTTGAGAGTTTTATTTTGTGCAGTAACTTAATGTCTTAGGTCATTAAATCCTGAAAGTAGCTTACCTAGTTTATATATTTAGGGAGTTTCTGGGACATCAATAAATAATCCTTCCTTTTATTTTTTGTCTTTTTTTCTAGTTTACCTTGTTTCCTCAGAACAAACATTGGGAAAATATGAATTGCAGTTTTATTATGTTGAACCTCCCATTTTCATGTTTAAAAGACAATCTTATGCAATTAAGAAGACAAAGTTGTCCAAGCGCGGTGGCTCATGCCTGTAATCCCAGCACTTTGGGAGGCTGAGGCAGGCGGATCATGAGGTCAGGAGATAGAGACCACCCTGGCTAACACAGTTAAACCCCATCTCTACTAAAAATACAAAAAATTAGCCAGGCATGGTGGCGTGTGCCTGTAGTCCCAGCTACTCAGGAGGCTGAGGCAGGAGAATCACTTGAACCCAGGAGGCAGAGGTTTCAGTGAGCAGAGATGGCACCACTGCACTCCAGCCTGGGTGACAAGAGTGAGACTCTATCTTAAAAAAAACAAAAACAAAAACAAAAAACAGTTTTTATAAAGATCATAACTTGTTTATGAAAATACACTTTGACAAGAAGAAAACCCATTAACACATGAGAGCAATGGTCGGATAGAACAAGTCACTGGGGAGATAGTTTTGCAGGGAAGGAAATAAAAGAATGATAGGAGAGGGCGGGCTTCAAAGATCCTAAGTTCTGAGTGCCAGTTTTATTTGATCTGGTCCAAGTTTCATGAAATTTCTTTGATCTTTTCCTTCTTATCTGTCAGTTGGAGATATCACTGTCACAGGGCTGTAGCCAGGACTCAATGAACTACAGCATGTCAGAAGCATGTGCACAGTGCCTGTACCTAGGGAATCTCAGGAAAAGATTGAAATTCCAAAGAAATTTTATCTTCTTCCGCATTTTTTCTTGATCTCTTTTAGAACATGCATTAAAAAATATGTACAGCAGGTGTGCAATGATGATCCTCATATTTTTGCATTTAAAAGAAAATCATATGCAATTAAGAAGTGAAACTTTTTGTGATGCATGATAACTTATTTGTGGAACTCTTGGACTGTAATAAAAACTCTTTACCACATACACTCAAAGGCCACCTGGATTCCATTTATCCAAAGGTGTCTATTAACCACTTACTGTGTCTAGCACAGCACTATGGAGGAGGATGGAGGCGGGAATGCAGAAAATATACAATATCAGACTGCAGCTTTGGAGCAGTATTTTGGGAAACCAGGACATTAAATGAAACAATTTAAATAACAACCATGCATTATATATTTGAGTGGAATTTTATTGCAAAACCATGTTACTAAAATTTAGGAGTCAGAAAAGATTCTAAGGTAGGATTAAATTAGTAATTTATAAAAAGCCTCAATCAGAGTGACTGGTACAGAGTAGAAGCCCAGTAAATAGTAGGTTTTTTAAAGAAATACATATTATTATCATATTTTTTCTAAGAAATAGGAAAACATTAAAGAAGAAAGTCTTTGAAAAAGCAAGCCAACCCAGCACTTTGTGGGGCCGAGGCGGGTGGATCACGAGGTCAGGAGATCGAGACCATCCTGGCTAACACGGTGAAACCCCATCTCTACTTGAAATACAAAAAATTAGCCAGGCATGGTGGCGGGCACTTGTAGTCCCAGCTACTCGGGAGGCTGAGGCAGGAGAATGGCGTGAACCCAGGAGGTGGAGCTTGCAGTGAGCCGAGATTGCGCCACTGCACTCCAGCCTGGGCAACAGAGCGAGACTCTGTCTCAAAAAAAAAAAAAAAAAGAAAAAAAAAAGTCAAGCCAAATGCCTCTTTCTTTGTGGAGCTTTATTGAATATCCAGAGGCTATTCTTTTAGTTGCGCAATGTGCTTCCATAGATTTCGGCCACACATCTGTTAGTGCTCCTAACATACGACACGGCAATGAGTGGTGTATCCTCCTGGGTAGAACAGGCATTCCTCAGGGAGCTGCTAAGATTCTATGTGGCCGTGTAATCCTTGTCCCAAACACAGGGTCTAGAACATAATCATTCATTAATGAATATTTATTGAATTAAATAATGGGTTTTGAGCTAGGCTTGGAAATTAATATTAGATCTGCATTTGTGGTGGGGGTGGGAGGGTGTGAGGTCACCTCAGGAATGGGAACAACCTTGTGGAAACTGAAATGGACATGACATTTTGTTCATTCATTCAACAAACACTTGAATGTGCCAAACACTTGAGTAAAAGCAGATGTAGCTTCTTCCTCTGGGACTTACAAACTAGTGGGAGAAATCAACTTTCATCAAATATAACAGTAAATACACATTTGTAACTGATAAATTCTACAAAAGAGAGGGCTATGGTGCTCTGAGACAGTCTGACTTGGTCACAGAAGACAGAATATATGTGAAATTAGTGGAGAGCATTTCTGTGAAAAGAAGTAGTGTGTACAGACTCCACTCAATGGCCTAAAAGAAGGCTGTGGGGATGGAGGGGTACAGTGCTGGGATGTTAGGCTGAAGAAGCAAGTAGGGGTCAGATCATGTAGGGCTCTTTAAGCCACATCCAGGAGTGCTGACTTTCTTGTAAGAATAATCCAAACCATTGAGCAACCCTAAGTCCTAAAGACTGGTGTAGGGGTTCAGCAATCATCAAATGTTCCCATTGGCATTTTGCAAAGCTCATGCTGGGTGCAGAGTGGGTAATGCATGGGGGCACAGCCAGAGTGGATTCTGGCGGAGTGATTGACAGGCTTCTGCAACCATGCAGTTGAGAGATGATAGAAGCTTGGATGCAAGTGTAGTGACAGAAACAGAGAAGATGGACACAGTGGTTCACACAAAAAATGACAACTTCACTACAAGTGATTTAGCAGTGATAAGAATTAACATTGAATAGGAAATATTGGGGTTAAGCAGTGCAGGACTCAGTCTGTTGGGCCACATAGATCAAACCCAATACCTATGCTCATTGACATCTCTTCCTTTACCTGCGTTTTCCCTTTAATTCATTTACTCACTCAATCATTTATTCATTGAATCACTCATTCATTCACTCGGTATTTACTGAGGTCCTACTATGTGCCAAGCTTTATATCAAGTACTCCTGCAAATCTCAATTTTCCTTTCTTCTGTCTTAATTTATCCTAGCTTTTCTTACCAAAGTAAAAAAAAAAACTTCTTCCAAGAGCCCTTCACTGGTCTTCCCAGTTATGCATAAGCAGCCTTCACTCATCCTTTCCCCATTTGAAACGGCACAACACTCATGCATTAAGTTATTTGACTTCATCTGTAGGTGTTAAATCAACAACTTCCTTTTGACACTTGGTTCCTCACTTAACCAGAGACCCACAAAATAAAGGCACGTGGTAAACGATTGTTTCACTGAGCGAAACTAAATTAAAGAATACACAGGCAGGAAACTTCACAAAACAGAATTAAATTATCTCTAAATGATCATCAGGTTCTGATGATGCCCCTGGATTTCTTTATTATTACTAGTTTTGATAAATGATTTATTTTTCATGTAGAATTGTAAAACGCTCCATTCCTTGTCATTGTGTCGTTTCAGAAATCTCTGGTAATTTAGTTAACCTAACCTTCCCTGTGACATATGGGTCTCTTATAAAAGCCGTTCAGTGTTCTGCTGAAGCCAGCTCATACCAGCTCAGGAGAGCCAGTTGTTCACATCTTTTTTTTCCAGTAAGGCTATTTTTTTATTTTTATTTTTTATTGTGCTTAAATTTTAGGGTACATGTGCACAACGTGCAGGTTAGTTACATATGTATACACGTGCCATGTTGGTGTGCTGCACCCATTAACTCGTCATTTAACATTAGGTATATCTCCTAATGCTATCCCTCCCCCCTCCCCCCTCCCCCCTCCCCCCACCCCACAACAGGCCCGGTAAGTCAGGAAACAACAGGTGCTGGAGAGGATGTGGAGAAATAGGAACACTTTTACACTGTTCGTGGGACTGTAAACTAGTTCAACCATTGTGGAAGTCAGTGTGGCGATTCACAGCTTTTTCTAGCTCCTAACTCAATGATTTACTTTAGTAGCTTGAAATTGGCAATGTTGGGAGTATTTTTCACCATGGAAATTGGCAAATGCTACAAATCAAGGCTTTGACGTTTTCCTCTGGGAAGCCAGTCATGAATGACTTTCTAGCACGCCATTGCTTCGAACTCACCCCGCAAAAAAAAAAAAAAAAAGAAAGAAAAAATCCAAACCAAACCAAAACAAAATTAAGATGAGTGGGTTCAATGTATTCTTAAACATGAGTGTGTGAGCATATGTGTGTGCAGGTTGAAGTGACAGAGAGCTATTTGTTAGACCTATGAAAAAAAGTGGAATTCTGTTATTCTCATCTTCATTTTGGGCTTCATTCATTCAGGCACTCATTCAACCAACACACTTACTGGTTCATATATCAGGCAATAGTTTCTTTTCTCAAATTGGACACAATCTAGTTAGTGAGAGACAACAACAGAAATTCCTATACAACATAATGAGCATGGATTCTGAACTGAAGTACAGGCCATATTAATGGAGAGGGGGAAACACATTTAAGAATTATGTAGGAAGTAAAACAAGCTTATTTGAGAACAGGTGAAAGAGAGGAATTGGAGATAATTGGCAATTTTCTAGAATGTGCAGGTGGGTGGATGGTTGTCTGTTCTCTAAATACAGGCTGAGAAATGGGTTGAAGGGAGGGGTGGGTGGAGCAGGCAGAGGTGAGTGAAGGAGGTGGGCTCCATTTGAGACATGTTAATTTGAAGTTATTTTGGAATCTTTAGCAGGCAGTTTGCAATACGTGTGTGAAAATTGGAAAAAGATTGGGTGATAGTGATTTAAAGTCATTTTCCTGTGGTAGTAATTAAAGCTGAGTGAGAATAAGAGGGAGTGTTAGTCAGGATCCCAGCAGGAAGCAGATGTCACACTCAAATGGGATAATTAAGGAGAATTTGATGACAAGACTATATATAAAGGTTGTGGGCAGGATTCAGAAAACCAACTGAGATGATGAAACACACCAGGACTAGCAACCACAGACAGCCATGACCTCTCCTAGGCCTGGAGGGTTGAACGGAAGGAGCATTTACAACGTAGAGATGCAGGAGCTAAATCTGTGAGTGTGGTGGTAGGAGAGGGTTGGCCGTGGGACCTTAGCCTCAGTAGAGGAACTTAGCCACTGCCAACCCAGAGCCTAGCAGGGAAGGAGCCTGGGGAATATACATGCTGACCTCCCTCTCTTGCCACCATCTTATTTTCTTCCCCCAGTTGGCCAAATCCATCATGAAGCCAAAGGGCAAGGAAACACCTGGAGGCTTCATAGAGGTCATCCTCCTGGGGCCCAGGGCAGGGTC
This sequence comes from Homo sapiens, assembly GCF_000001405.40. Taxonomy (NCBI): domain Eukaryota; kingdom Metazoa; phylum Chordata; class Mammalia; order Primates; family Hominidae; genus Homo; species Homo sapiens. The sequence continues at coordinate 239,427,641 of NC_000001.11, forward strand.
AAGAAGGGTGGATGGTGGAATAGTGACCTTGGCATGGCAAGTGGAAAATAACCAATGAGATGATGATCAGAGGAGACTGAGACAAGATGGAACCTCAAGAAGCACCCACATTTAAGAGACAAGCAGATGGAGGATCCTGAGAAGTGACACCCAAAAGGATTAGATGAGGGAGTGGTTTTGCTGAAAGAAAAGGCAGTGTTCTAAGTAAGAGGAAACATTGTCACATATGCAGGATCAAAGTACAATAATAAGAGTCCAAAGAATTCCCAGCAAAGTAGCCATTTATAGTCCTGGCTGACTATTATTTGCACACATGAGGTTATGAAATTGACAGAAGCCACAGGAACGAGTTTGCAAACCTCGGTGTCATTGTTTTTGCATCTAACAGGAAGATAGGGGTAGAAAGTTTGCCGTCCTATATAGTAGACTCCTTCTCACTGCCTGTACCTCCTGTTCCATCTTTGACCCTGATTCTACAAGCACGTGCTCGAAAGAGAAGAGACAGGTCATTGTCAACTTCAAGCCACCATGACATTATCCAAGGAAGGGAGGCAGTGACAATGGTTAAAGAAGTAGCCTGCTCCTTTCTGCAGCTCCCTTAGGGTCTGACAGTAGCAGATGCAAGAGCAAGAGTTTGGTATTCTCCATTTCAGATACAGTGGTGGATTATTTTACATAAAGGATTAGCAACAGTGGTCTTGGTCTGGTGCAGTTGAGTAGATATTTCAGAGTGCAAAATATGGCCTGGCTGTGAATTGACAAGGAGTCAGGAATCATAGCCTAGGAGATACTTTACAGGACAAAGATGCAGTCTTTGTATTTAATAGGAAATGTCAGGGGAACAACCCTATGGAGTATGAATGAAATGCATATAGCACAGGGAACATTACATAGCACACATTCCATACATGTTTGTTGAATAAAACGGAATTTTTAAAAGATGCAGTAACATTTAGTCATAAGAATACTTGACAGAGAAAATTTTTTCATCGTGTACTGTTTGACACCTTACCAAAAGATTAGTAAAATATTTTCCCTGTTTTAGTTTGTTTTTTCCCATACAAAATACAACTTCATTAACCAAACAACTACAGCAAAATTTATAATATGCCAGCATAACTCTATTTATCACATTGATACACTTATTTTGCAGACTTTAAATATTTATGTGTATTTTAAAAATATATTGTCTGTATAATTTTATATAGTGTTTCCTTGTCAGCTTTTTAGCATAAGCGTTCTCCATATTACTTTCTAATCATTTTTAGTGGCTGAATAAGAGCCTGTGCAGAAGATGCAAGGTGATCTTCTTAGCTGTTTCTGAGTATTTATGTGGATTCATGTTTTTCACTTTTAGAAATATACACATGAGGGCATTGTACCCAGAATTTTTCCCCACTGAGTTTTGAGTTATTTCCTTGGGAAATTTCTGGCTTTCTTGAAATCAAATTACTAGGTTGAAGAACAAAAGCATTATGATGAATCTTGATGCAATTTAAGTACATTTGATATTACAAATTCTTAAACTTGCTTTTGAGTAAATACACTTGCATTTTCTTTAGCTTTTTGCATGTCTAACAACTCTTTTGCCTGTGAAAATCTAGTAATTTTTATTTTTCCGCCTGTCAAATGAATATAGTGGTAGCTCTGGCTGAGAAGAAAATGAACAAAGTGACTTGAAATCCATTATCCCTGAGTACAAAGTTTAAGATGACAAATACTGATTGAACTGAATTGAATCTAGCAAGTAAGGTGATAATACATGATTGTTAAGTCATTATCTGTGATTTATTTCAATCTAATCGTGATTTACTATAATTCTGTACTTCAAACAAGATCAAAAAGGCTAGCTGTGATCTAGTAGTCATACCTTGTGTAACATATGCTATAAAACCGGGATGTAATTGCTGTTAATCAGTGCTTATTGAATGTGTTTCATAGCATTTTCTTCAGCATGTTCCATTGCAGAGCTCATGTGTGAGGCACATATTTTCAGTGCTTTGCTCCCTTACACTGATGACAATGTGTTGATTTTTCATGTCGGGTATTTTTATTTGGTTAGTCTGATTGCATTTTGCTTCTCTTTACATTTAATTATTTTCTCCCTTCTGTTAGTATATTTTGTCCATCTTCTCGTAGGGAGTTTTTTTTTTTTTTTCTCCTCCTCTAACATCTCATTAGTAATTCATTTAAGTTTTCTTAAACTTCCTACACATGGGTTCTGCCGTCTTTATGCTTGTTAAATTTATTAAAGTTTGGATTGAAATTAAAGGAAATAAATGCCCAAAGTGTGTAAAAACCATTTGACTCAGTAAATAAACACCCAGACAATCTTTTTTTTTTTTTTTGAGATGTCTTGTTCTATTGCCCAGGCTAGAGTGCAGTGGCACAATCTCAGCTCACTGCAACCTCCACCTCCTGGGTTCAGGCAATTCTCTGCCTCAGCCTCCTGAGTAGCTGGGACTACAGGCGCCCACCACCACACCTGGCTAATTTTTTGTATTTTTAGTAGAGACGGGGTTTCACCATCTTGGCCAGGATGGTCTTGAACTCCTGACCTCGTGATCCGCCCTCCTCAGCCTCCCAAAGTGCTGGGATTACAGGTGTGAGCCACCACACCCAGCCCCCAGACAATCTTTTAAATATTTTTGCACTGTATAAAAATAGGTGAAATATCGAACTTTACACATTTTTTTAAAATGTTCACACTTTGATTCCAGATTAACTAAATAGATGCCCAAAACAGATACAGTTTTAAAAACTCTTGCAAATCACCGATATGCATCTGTGTAAAATAGGTACAACATTTACAAGTTAATAGGTATGGTTTTTGTGTGACCACTAGATGTTTTTTCATTCATTGGCCAATGTGATTATAGGAAAACCATGTTCAGCTTAATTTAGGAAGAACACTGATAGAGATAACTGGCTAAACAGTAAACTTGGTAGACCCAATTTTAAAAAGCAGTTTTCATACCTAAAATCACAAGATTTTTTCCTCTTCAAGATATTAAGATGTGTGCACACATACTAGATATATATATATATACACACACACACATACACACACATATGTATGCACACATCAAGATATCTACTCCCCATATATATCAAGAGTCTGATTAGAGTTTAGCTTTTTGCTTTTTTTTTTTGGCATTTCTTTTTGCTTTGGAATGTTGCCTGGTACATTGATTTTTCTATAATAGGTGAATTTTGAGAAAGGAGTTTTCAAAGCATGAAAACAGAACAATGTCTAAGGAAATCCTAGTTGCTTTCGATATTAAATGAATAATATAAACACATTTTCAACATACTGATGTACTATTTAAAATCATAATATCTATTACTTTTAATCAATATTGGAGTTTCTTTTAAACTAATCTCTGTGCCCCATCCATACATTATACTGTGGAACCAAACTCTTCACTGTGAATGAGTGGAAAGGACATTCAAAATCCTTCATATTGAGAAGTAAAATAAAATTCATGTATTCGCTTGTTTATGAAATATTTATAGGTACCTATTATGCCAGTCAAATGCTCGTGTACATTAGGAGTAAAATTAATTTATTTAATCTATGCAACCTTGTTTATTGTCCCCCTAAAATAAATTTATGTGACTCATGTTAACTATATAGTAGATTTTTTGTTCTAGTAATCCTCCACAGATGTTCAAGTCTGCTTAATTGTTTTTCATTTGCAGGAAAAAGATTTTTAAAGGCTATAAAATAGCAATTAAAATGCCTGAGGATATAACTACACAAGGCAAATAATGAAATTAACAAGGTTCAGTGGTTCTACATGACACAATTGCCTTTTTCCTAACAAGGAAATAAATTTTTTCTCTAAAAGCTATTATATGTGGACTTAAGTTGGAACAAAAATAAACCCAGTGTTCAAGCTCAGACACAGCTTTTTGAAGACAAGAGCTTTAATTTAAGTTCCCTGAGATCCCCACCTTTCCGATGCTGTGTATTTCACAGTCGAAGATAGTTAACATTTTGAGTGTGCAAAGATTCATTTCATTCATTTAGTGCTTATTAAGTGCTATGAAAGATACAAAGAGGTAGCAAACAGTGCTTGGTTCCCTTTGAAGAAATTAAGCTGAAAAGGGTACCTTAATCCTTAGAAAATTTGAAATACTAATTAACTAAACAAACCTCTAGACTCGAATCCTAAACTAATGTTATTTCCACGTTACTGTATCCGGATACTTCCCCTCGAGACTCAAGGAATCTTCTACTTAAATCTGCCAGAGCACTAAAATCATAGATGTAATAAGTTGTACAACCCCAGTAATCCCCTGCTGTGAGTATAGAGTAGGAACCAGGCTCCCAGGTGTTCCTCATTCCACACACTCTTTGTTCCTCCTTCCACACACTCTTTCCATCTTCTCATCCCGGAAGGATGTGGCTATGAGGGTAGTCGTGAAGTCTCGATGGATCACGCCAAAATGGTTTGTAGATAGGAGTATGTCAGTGTTTAAGATGGTTTGTCATTTGTGGATGGTGACTGTCAAGGGGATCTGGATAAGGAAGAGGAAGAAGACAGGTGAGATGTTCACAATCTCATGTGGAAGTGGTCTATTTGGTGATTGCCTACATAGTCATTTTATAAACATTTAAAAATAATTCCTAGAAACAGCATGTTTTTTGTTGGTAACTTCTCAGGGGCATTAAATCAGCAGGCCTGTGCTCCTGCTGATCTGTCATGATAGATTTGGAAAGTAATTCATATTTTATATTGATATTGAAACATATTGAGTCTCCTCTTCAGTCATCTGGGTTTCATTTGTGTCTAATCTTACTTAATTAGATACCAGTGTGCTTTGCTGTTACGTGAAGAGTGAATGGGGAAAATGCTTTATATGTAGATGATGAGCAGAGTTGCTTTTGCTAATTTGGGCTTACACTGACCCCAGGATATCTCATTTGTAAGTGCTGTGCTAGGATATTTACTTTGTTTACTTTGAAAACTTAGCTTTGACATTCATTATATGAAAATGTGATGTGATAATCAGCAAGATAAAGGAACGTATGAAAATCAATTATGGTATCATTTAGTAAACTAATTTAAGGAGAAGATTGAGGTTTTATTGGTACTTCAAAATGGAAACAGAAACTGTCAAATCCAGTCAAATCCATTTTCTATCTAAGGATCATATTGGCCTGTGAAATAATTTGCAAATATTGCTTTCTAAGCCATTTTCACGGGTTCTTTTATTTTTGAATATTGGGCTTCCCAGGATGGTATTCTTGTTCCTCTAATTAATTCAACAACTATTTATTGTGTTCTGTCCTATTTTTACTCTCTGAGATAACACATTTCCAGTCTTGACTTTTTCCCCTACAACTTTAGCTATCACTTCACATTGTCTTCATCCAGCTCAGCGCTGTGTTTTCAAATCTTTACCTTTATTTCTAGCTTTCTCCTCCTATCCATGTTTCCATCAGGCACCCTGAATCCCAAACTCAAACTCATGACCCAAACTGACTGCTCCCCAAATACCACAACCTACATATTTTTAAAGAATCTTATCCTATTCTAAGAATAGGTTTATAGTCTCACATTAGATACTAGATTTTTATACTAAGAATCTAAAGAATGCTATTGTTTATCTGTGGTCTCAGTGAATGGAACTCGGAGATTCTCAGTTGTTCAATCTGGAAAACTCCCATGGAGCCTAACTCCCCATATTTTGCTCTAAGCACCTCCTTCTAATTCAGCCATGCCACGACTGTCTCCTAAATCTCTTTTCTTCTATAGCATCTCTATTGTGTTAGTTTAGGCTCGACTCATTTCTTGACTCAACATATGCAATTTTCTTTTTTTATTTGCATAGGTTTTTGGGGAACAGGTGGTGTTTGGTTACATGAGTAAGCTCTTTAGTGGTGATTTGTGAGATTTTGGTGCACCCATCACCCAAGCAGTATACACTGAACCCAATTTGTAGTCTTTTAGCCCTCACCCCCTCCCACCCTTCCCCCAAGTTCCCAAAGTCCATTGTATCATTCTTATGCCTTTGCATCCTCATAGCTTAGCTCCTACTTATGAACGAAGACATATGATGTTTGGTTTTCCATTCCTGAGTTACTTCACTTAGAATAGTAGTCTCCAGTTCCGTTCAGGTTGCTGCGAATGCCGTTAATTTGTTCCTTCCTATGACTGAGTAGTATTCCATCGTATATACATATATACCACAATTTCTTTATCCACTCGTTGATCCATGGGCATTTGGGCTGGTTCCATACTTTTGCAATTGTGGATTTTGCTGCTATAAACATGCATGTCCAGGTATCTTTTTCATATAGTGACATATTTTCCTCTGGGTAGATACTCAGTAGTGGGATTGCTGGATCAAATGCTGGTTCTACTTTTGGTTCTTTAAGGAATCTTCAGGCTGTTGTCCATAGTGGTTCAACACATGCAATTAATTCTTAATCAAGCATCAGTCCTCCAGTCTTTTCCACTCCTTCCAATTCCCATCTCAAAGCTCTATTTTAAGGATCACAGTCTCATCAGATTACTGCCTTGTTGGAAATTCTTGGAAGGTTTCCCTCAGTTACACTTTTGCCCTTATGCCTGATAACTTCTGTACTCTTGTTTCTGAACAAGTCTCTCTCTAGTTCTGCAGGCAACGTGTTGTGATCTCAGACTCCATGTCTTTACATGTCCTGTTTCCTCTACCTGGAAGGCCCTTTCTTGCCTCCTTTGTTTAGCTAATTCCTACAACTCTTTCATAACTCAAGATAAACATCATCTTCTCTGGGATATTTCCCAAGACTCTCTCTCTATCTATATAATAGCAGTGTTGCTGTGCTGCCCTACAGTATTCCAAGAACACTGTGTGCGTGCCTCCTATAATTTACCACGTCTGTTTATATGATAACCGTGTTGGTTTCTTTATATGGGTAGTGGCTACCTTGAGCGCAGGAACTGTGTCTTATTTACCACTCTCCCAGTAATGGGCATATTCAGTTCAAGTCAATAAATATTTATTGAGTACCTACTATGTACTAGACACTAAGTGCTTTCAATATACATCAATGAGCAAAACAGACAAAAATTTCTGCATGCATGAATTTATATGCTAGCATAATTGCTTGGTGTTGAAAGAGAGAGAGATAGAGAGGGAGAAGGAGAGAAAGAGAAGAAGAAAAGAAAATAGGAGGGAGGGATTGAGATGAAAATGTGGAATTGTAATACTTTGAAAGGAAACAATCATTGGTATTCTGGTTGGGAATTTGAAATTTCCAAATTATCAGCTTATGGAAACGGAAGTGGACCTCCTCGAGATCGCTTCCCGAGGTTTTTGTATTCCTTGTCATGCTGCTAATTGCTTCATGCCTTCATTATAGGACTCAGCTCCCAGTGGATTTCAGTATTGTTCCCAGTTCCTTTCTATTAATAAATGTTTAGTAAAATGTAGCAGTAAAGAAAATCATATGAAGTTATGTAACTTTTCGGAAATTAAAGAAACTACTTAGTAATGCTTAATGCTTTTAAGAGTGCAATAGAAAGTTCTCCCACAGCTGGGAGCGATGGCTCACGCCTGTAATCCCAGCACTTCGGGAGGCCAAGGCGGGCGGATCACGAGGTCAGGAGTTTGAGACCAGCCTGGCCAATATCATGAAACCCCGTCTCTACTAAAAATACAAAAATCAGCCGGGTGTGGTGGCGGGTGCCTGTAGTCCAGCTACTCGGGAGGCTGAGGCAGGAGAATGGCGTGAACCCGGGAGGCAGAGGTTGCAGTGAGCCGAGATTGCACCACTGCACTCCAGCCTGGGCGACAGAGCGAGACTCTCTCTCATAAAATTTAAAAAAAAAAAAAAAAAGAAGAAAAAATCTTCTCTCACTACTGCCGGGGGATTTGTACTTGATGAAATCCCAAGGAAATACTGAATAAAGAAGTAAATAAATGCCTGGGCTTGCAGTTTTGCCTTCAAATCAATATCTGATGTAGGCTAGACATTTGGAAGTTTTATGTTTCTTTTTGGTAAGTGTCCATACTTAAAAAAAAGTGTGCGCAGTGTTTTCTGTGCTTTACTGAAAGAGTATCCTAGTGGCAACAAATTCCACCGTGTTAATACATATTATTTATAAGAATTTGAACCTTTGATTTTCCTGAAAATAATTTTACACCATTCTTTTTTCTTTTTGACATTTCCATAGGTGATATTTTGCACTATTGGGCAAAATATTTATCTATAAGGCAATGTTAGGAGGATCACATTTCTCTGCTCTGGGCCACAGGCTGCTCCCCCGATGGTACTGGCAAACTCAGGGGTTGAGGTGGCATGGAAAACGTTTCTTTGGGGGCTGTGCTCACCATTAAAGTGGGGAAGTGGAAAGCTGACAAAGTGGATATATAGGGTATTTTTTGAAAATAGTCGTGGAAGACAATGTGAATAATGATCGTGTGAGACAAGTATCTTTAAAATGAATATGTGGATGTGAATATGTGTGTGTGCATGTGTATGCTCATGGGTGCGTAAGAGGGAGAGGCAAACCTTTTAGTTGTATGGTTTAGCATTATAGAAGACAGTAAGGTTGGTTATGGAGGCTTTCCCTGAAGTCTTCCAGCAGATTGTAAACATATTAATTAAAAAGGTACCACTTTGGGCTAGTCAAGTCACTTCTGAGCTCCCGCATCTGAGGGATGCAAGCGATTTGGAATTTGGAGGCCCTGGGATCCCGTTGGTCCTGAGTGTCGCAGAGCAGAGGCTGCAGGGCTGATGCTGTTCTCCTCACAGTGGACAGAGCTCTATGTCCTGCTGCTCTCACTGGACCATTAGGAGATGAGTGGTCTGGCTGCCCCTACCCCCAAGGGATTTTCTTGTGGGCAGCACGGTGCTGTGTGCAGTCTGGAGATAACATAGTTTTATGTGTCCCTTTGAATCGCCGGCTCTGCTTGTTCATCTGTCTCACCAACCATTCAGGAACAGCCAAGGGATAGTCACCCATCCTTATTTTGATTGAAAGAGGAAAAGCTTTATGAATTTTTCTCACATTCATTAATCATGCTCAGTTACTTTTTCTGTATGGTGCTTCTTGTAATTTCCTTCCCTCAAATGCATTAGATTCCAAGACCTCTAAGTAATTGACAGCTACTTTTCTAGGGCAAAGATATTCATTTTAGTTGCCATGTGGGGTTTTATCTTTCTACTTGTTCTTTTCCCCAGCACCCTTCCCTAAAAACCTGATTTAACGGATGCTGTTACTCCGTCTTCATGGGGACTGGTGCTTTTGCCTATCTATTTTCTGTTTTACCTTATCATTAAGGACACCTCCAGTGAGGTGATCTCTCGTGGGATTACTAACTCCAGGCCAACACATGAATGGCTCACCAGACCACACTGTATCTCACCATATCTCACACAGGAACTCTTAAAAAAAATGACGCTACACTGTTTATAATCTAGTGGGTAATGAAAATTTTTAAACTTTTTTTTCCCACTAAACTAGTTCTTTTGTTTTTGTTTATTCCTTTTAAGACAGGGAGGGTCACACTCCCCAGCCTGAGTGCAGTGGCAGGATGATCACAGCTCACTGCATCCTCCACCTGCTGGGCTCGAGCAGTCCTCCTGCCTCAGCCTCCCAAGTAGCTAGGATTACACAGACATGCCATTATATCTTGCTTTTTAAATTTTTTGTAGAGACAGGGTCTTGCTACATTGCTCAGGTTGGTTTCAAACTCCTGTCTAAGCCTCCCAAAGTGTTGGGATTATAGGCATGAGCCACCACACCTGGCCCCACTGAACTATTTCTTGATGCCACTGTTGTTTCTTCCAGAACTCTAAAATTCTGCCACTCTCTGTTCTCTGGGACACAATCTGCTCCCCTGGTGTGATGAGTGAACTCAGAATTGTGGTGACATGGAAAGCCTTTCTTTTTATTTTTATTTTTATTTTTTTTGAGACGGAGTCTCTCTCTGTCACCCAGGCTGAAGTGCAATGGCACGATCTCGGCTCACTGCAATCTCTGCCTCCCGAGTTCAAGCGATTCTCCTATCTCAGCCTCCTGAGTAACTGGGATTACAAGCATGCATCACACCCTCTTATTGGGCCTGTGCACACCATTGAAGTGGAGGCAGAGGAAAGTTGGCAAAATAGAGATGAGAGGCCAAAAGGTTCACCAGAACAACTCAGGAGATCTGAGTCTGAAATCGGAAACTAGAGACCACTGATAGGATTTCCTAGGTGGTACTAAAAGGCCAAACTGTCTAAACTGGATTTAAGACAAAAATGAGAAACACTTTTGCATGATTGTTGCAGATTTCTAAGGCCCTATTATGTTCCTAACACTTTGCTCAGTGGGTGAGTATGATCTTCACCAGGGTAATGGTTGTAGGGAATGGAGGGATCACATGGTGAAGGTCACATGGAAAGGAAGCAGCAGATGGAACCACAGACTCTAAAGCTCAGCAATGACTTCTTCACTGTTATTTCTCTTTCAGCCATAACCATATGACATTTTAAAGTATAATGAAACATGCTAATATTCTCACCTAAATTATCTTACATTTTATTATATTTTAAGTACATTTACATTTATTTCCACTATAGAATTTTTTTTCTTAATAGTTAAGAAAGATTTACTCTATAAAAGTATAGCTGTAGTACTGGGATGTAAAACGTACATCTTATCTAGAAATCTTGATTTTTTTTCATACACACACACACTCAAGTAAAGCTAGCCCAGTGTTTGATTTGAAGCCCACATCCAGCTGAAAGTGGGGTTACACTTTATAAACTAATAAAGAGCAAGATTCTGCTTTGACTTGGTAAAACATTAAATAGGATGTGGGCATATGCCCACTGACATCTCTCTGCTTTATCTTGGTGTGCTGACCCTGGTGGCGTTCACTTCTATATTTTACTTTGATACACCACAGCTTATCGTATGATCTCCTTCTTGTAGATTATCCTCATGATATGGAGCATAGTGAATACCATGGTTACTGTGAGTTTGGCAGGGCTATTGTGCGATTATTTTTGAGATTTGGGAGGCTTTCATGGACTACAAAAAGATTTAAGAGCTCTATCTGTTACAGGAGCTAATGCTTACCTTTATGAAGGTGTGAATCCCTTGTAAAGAACATCGAGGCTTTCTGATAAGTGTGCATCTAAAAAGAAGGTAATTCTTTTTCAGTATATACTATTTTTCAGTAGTGATGTGCTGCTGAAACCTATTTTGTAATTCTCATATAACACAAGCAAAAAGTTGCCCAAATGTGCACCAGTCATTAAAAAATAGAAAACTAAATCAAGGTATCTCAGGGACTCTAGAAACAAATAATATTTAATGTGGAATCAAGGCACAGTGCAAACTGGTTTCCTTCATGAACATAATAATTCCCCTCCTGAGCAGTTGTGTAAGTTGGGCCTAGCTTCATATCCAATTTCTTAAATAGTTGCAGCAGCATCTTCTCTTGGCATACTTAGTGTGAAAATCTGCAGGCTCAGATCAGTTAGTGGCAGAAACTGAAAAGGCACACTGTGCTTTGGGTTGGCCAGAGATTCCTCTGAAGGTCTTTGAATATTGGTCAGTAAAAATACTTTGAAACATGGTCCTTAGGTTTGTATCCGATTAGAACCCCTGGAATATCCCAGGTGGTCATGTCAAGATAGTAACCATCTCCTGACACCTAAATCTGAATCGCTCTGCTGACAATTATAGTAATAACACTATCATATCATAGCTTTTATATTTAGTTACTCATGGGAAAATGTGAATGCAATTGGGGGGAAATAAGTAATATTGGAATTCGTGATATTTCCTGCGGACAGTAACAATGAGGGGCTGGAGTCAGGGCTTTGGACTGCTAGTGGACAATACCAGGACAATGGACACGTGGAACTAGATAAGAACAATGAGAGGAGAATTGAAATAGGGTCAAAGAAGGGTGAGAAAGCATTTATTGGATAAATCCTGATAAATTGTTAGTTTTTCTTGGAATAATGGAGAAAGCAATCAACCAATCTACTACAAAAAACTGATCTTTAAGATCAAGATACCAGTTATTAAAGCTCCATTAAGTTTAAGACTTGTTGGTTGATCATGATCTATTATGGTCATTGCATATCATTATGCCTGGGGTCTTTGTACCTGAGTGGTGAAGACTGGCCATGTCTGGAACACAGAGAGGGTAAGGTGGGGAGCAATAGGTTATCATCATGCCTTTTATTAGGGCTTGGCACCATGTTTTTAGATTTTAGGAAATAATTGGTGTGCAAAGAAGATGGTCGATATCAGGAAGTGTAAAAACCTCTCTATATGGCCGGGAGCAGTGGCTCATGCCTGTAATCCCAGCACTTTGGGAGGCTGAGGCAGGCGGATCACGAGGTTAGGAGTTCGAGACTAGCCTGACCAACATGGTGAAACCCTGTCTCTACTAAAAATATAAAAATTAGCCAGCCATGGTGGTGTGCGCCTATAATCCCAGCTACTCAGGAAGCTGAGGCAGGAGAGTCACTTGAACCTGGGATTTGGAGGTTGCAGTGAGCTGAAATAGTGCCACTGTACTCTAGTCTGGGTGACAGAGTGAGACTCTGTCTCAAAAAAAAAAAAAAAAAGCCTCTCTATAGGGACATTAATTTAGAGACCTGAGCCTGATAAATTTACATATAAGCCAAACTGTAGAAGGTGGTTCTTGAAAATGAGTCACACACACACACAAAATGTGAGAAAAGAAGTCAAGAGGCCAGGTGCAGTGGCTCATGCCTATAATCCCAGCCCTTTGGGTGGCTGAGGCCGATGGAGCACCTGAGCCCAGGAGTTCAAGACCAGCTTGGGCAACTTAGTAAGACCCTGCTGCTAAAAATATTTATTATTTTTTAATTAAAATAGACAAGAGACCAGAAAATGCAGGTAGGAAACTAGGCTGCTGGTCTTAGACAATATGCATGTATCTCATATAGGAGAAATGGTAGAATTAAGGGCAGGGCCAACTCTACATTCAGGTGTTAAGTTGTTCCAATTTGGAAGTTGGAGGACTATAAAGTATATTTATCATTAAAGTGATGTTTTCTTTGGTCTCTCTTAGTCAAAGCATTACTCGACATTTATCAAATGAATTATTTTTGTCAGAGAACAGGTCTGAGTGCTCTGTTGTTCTTCAGCCAATTAACAAATGTATCCTTTGTAATAGAGCTAAAATAGTACAACCCCAGAATTGAACCTTATTAAATACATTCTTAATCTTTGTTTGGAAACCTGCAATATTAGCCTAAATGTCTCCATAGTTAAACTCCATAAACAGTTTGGTCTTCCTGGAATGACTGAATTGACATTTACACTTTGTTTGTAAGGCAGACATTACTCTGGGTGGTGTATCATTTTGACAGTCTTTTGATTACTTAGTGCTCTTAGTGTTGACAGTTAAATTCATAAACCAGCAGATTGAGGGCAGAAATGGAAAAATAAGCTAAAAATGGAGTCTCCTCATAGTGATTATTAACTAATGGAGGGATTGTAAAATTCTAAAACTATTGGCTATGATTTAAGGTACGCATCATTATTTGCTGATGAATAGATCTGAAGTGGAAAAAATGGGAAGGCACGCTTATAATTGGAAAAGTTATTAGAACTGCTGGTTTCTGGTTAAGTTAACCAAAAGTGAGACAAAAGAAAAAGGCAAACAATAACACAGTCATTACCTAAATTGGAGCTCGTTTGCATGCTTTTCTGTGCCATTCTAAGTAAGGTCTTAGACTATTGTACCTTTCATCAGTATCTACTAAGATGTTTTAATATCTTTTGTCCCTATAAAAGGTCAGAGGGTGAGGTGACATTTCCATTGCTTCATTTCTCATACAGAAATTCCAATATTTGTCTACATTTGAAAAGAATTGCATCTGCAAATTTAGGGTGTAGGAATTAACAGATCTATAGTTCACATATCTGTCTGCAAACCAAGAGACTGACTTTGTTCATATGTAGGAGAGGGGTGGACAAAACCAACTGTTAGCACATTTTGGAAAGGTCCATGGACATAGACAATGTAAATGTTAACTCATTTCTGACCTGTGATAAAATAAGGCACTGAAGATTCTTTCAAATAAGCCCTTGGAGGAGACTGGGAAAGGCTTTTGCCAATTTTTTATAGTTGTAGCTACTAATTATAAGTGAAACAAAATTCTGCTTCAAACCTGCTGTGACCAATTTGTTATAAAGCTGTTTGTGTGTGTAAGAATCCATACACTTCTTATCAGCTGAACTATTGCCTCACTTTTCCAAGCACAGATGTGAAGTATTTAAAAGTCTTTGATAGCAAATATATGTTTAAGAGACATTAAAATAAAATTCCAAATACATGATTTATGTTTTAAGCATTCAGTATTATTTGATTTTCATTTATACCTAGAAAGGAGATAGACCACATACTAATTTTCAAAATGTACATAATATGTATCTCTTCTCAAATGCTTCAGTTCCACAGCAGGGTTCAGCGTCAGGAGGTTGTCTAATATTGTTTGTCATTAAAGACAGTTTAAATATACGTTAGGTTTTTTTTTTTGAGATAGTTTTAATTCTCGGCTCACTGCAGCCTCTGCTTCCTGGGTTCAAGCAATTCTTGTGCCTCAGCCTCCTGAGTAGCTGGGATTACAGGCACCTGTCACCACGCCCAGCTGATTTTTTGTATTTTAGTAGAGATGGGGTTTTACCAGGTTGGCCAGGCTGGTCTTGAACCCCTGAGCTCAGGCAATCCACCCGTCTCAGCCTCCCAAAATGTTAGGATTACAGGCGTGAGCCGCTGCACCCGGCCAAAATACATGTTAGTTCTTGATGCATGCATAGGTAGAGAAAACCCTTTTTTTTTTTTCTTTAAGAGTTTAAAAATTTTCAGGGTGAAAGATGTGAACTGTCTCTGGAAGCCAGTGTGTGAGGCCAGAAGCAGTGATATTTCTTTATCCTGCCCATGGGAATTTCAAGCGTAAGTGGGGAATTTGGATCAGACTCTTTGAGGTTGTTCTGAGAGTGCGTATTTTCACTATTTTGTTCTGACTGGAGAAGAGAAAAATATAAGCAGGGAATTTTTAAAAGTTGATTAATCTGATGACCCAGGTCTTATTTTGAGTTTACAAGGGACCCAGAAGTGGCAGATACTCAAGCATTTTCACACAGTCAACAGATACAAGAGGAGAAACAAAATGCTCATTTCACACTAGGAGCTCAAGTAGCGTCTTTTCTGGTGAATTCTCCGTGTGGAGTGAATTTCTCTGTCTGGCAGTGGATACATTAGTTGTTCCTGTGCGCGAGCCCTTGTGTTATGGGGTAGAAGGAACAATGACTGTAGTTTAATCAAGTCTGACGTCTTAATAAATGGACTGACAAATAAGGATAAAATACCAATTTTAATTTAATAGAGCCACCTATCCTTAACGTTTTTATTTGGCTGTGCCATGTATTTATTACTGCTTGATGGTTTTATGTATTTAATTTATAGTGAGATAACAAAGCTTATTTTATTTCATTTAATAGTGAATTACAAAAGTCTGAGGTAATTGTTCTCACATAAAAATATTTGAAGTGAATTTACAATATTTGTCTTTGCTCATGTGTGATTACAGTTTTTGGTGTTCACAGAGGATGAAAGTCATTTATGGGCAGTTGTGTGTTTGAGGAATAATCTGATGATTGTATAATTTGTCTTTCGTCATAGAGTCTCCTGATATGGTATTAAAATGAGAATTTCCTATTCAAGTTTCCTACTGTTTGCGAAGGGAAGCTTCTCTTTGTAATGTCACGAATGCAAAATTGATATCAATTTCTCTAAATAAATAATTATGAGAACATCAAATCTAGAAAAAAAAACTTCCAGTAACCTCCATTTATGTAAGCACAAATGAAGTTGAAACTGCAGAGATCACATCAAAGTGTCTGTGAAGAAAAACTGCTGCTAGGATAAGATTTTTCCGGCTGTTTAAGGTGCCTGTGACATGGAAAGCTGGAAATAATAAATCCAGACTATTTTGTTGGAAAGTGCTTACTTTAATGAAGAATCTGAAGAAACGCTTAGGAAAAGAAAATCTTAAGGGAAATACTTTTCTTCTTTTAGCATTAGTCGGTATAATATAAACGCTTAGGAGAAGAAAATCTTAAGAGAAATACTTTTCTTCATTTTAGCATTAGTCAGTATAATATTTTAACTCCTTGAAGGGTAGATATATCCAAAATTAGTTGAGTGAAACTTCACTCATCAGAGAAAATTGGAGAAACAGTAGAAGAGAATTGAAATCCACATTGGAGTCTTCCTTCACCCAATTATTTTACTTTGGCTCTTTTGTGTGAAATATGTGTTTCAGATTTTATAGTTTTCAAAATCCATCTATATTTATTGTCTTAATGCTTACCAAAAAAGTAGGCTGTGAGGTGTCTGCTCTTAGTAATTGCAGTCACAATTTTTGAGTACTGGGAGTCAGGCACCAGGCTCAGCATGTTGTGTGCCATCTCTGGGCCTTTCAAGAATCTCTCAGCTTCGTTTTAAGGACCCTGCCTTAGTCATGAGGAAAACGCCCGAGGCTGGCTGTGGGTCTTTGTTCAGGAGTCACGGAATTAGTCTGCACCAGACAAAATACAAAAGTCCATCCTATTCTATTTTAACTGTCTCCATATATTTTAAGTTGCTTCCTCTTGTACAATAAGATCTTAAAGTGTTAAAGAACACACATATTCTACTGAGTTACCATAGGTCACACAAAGATAAACAACACATTTTACAATATAGTAGGAGAAGCAGACATTTCATACACAACTGTAATAAAAAGAATGTTTTGAATGGAGGAGTATATACAATACTAGGGATTTATTAAAGAGGAAGCAATTAATTTGTGCTGGAGGGAATAAGAGAGACCATTTGAGGCCCTGCCTGGTGAGCTGGGACCTGAGGGGTGAATAGGACTTTGTCAAGGAGAGAAGTCAAGTATGATGAATTCAAAGGAAGGTATAAGACTGGAAGGGAACCTGGGGAGGGGAATGTGGAAATCCACTAGATGATACAATCAGAATTATATTAGGTCAGTGCAAAAGTAATTGAAAGTAATGGCAAACACCGCGATTACTTTTGCACCAATCTAATAACTAACAAACAGATACAAAATATACGAGATGAAGACAAAAAAATTAAAAAGACCAGAGAATATTGTATGTTTCTTAGTGGCCCAGAAGAATGGGATGAACTAAGAGGTGGGATTAGAAAAGGAAGAGTGTCTCCCTAAAATAGAGAGGTTGGATTTGTTGATTATTTACCCATAGGGGCGGAGATAGTAAAAGAAAGAGCAAAGATGTCACTGAGGTCTCTGGCAGTAAAGACAAGAAGAGAGGAGGATCAGCAGATCAACAGGTGGTAGATGATGGTTTCCTTGTGTGCAGTGGGCCACTGGATTTGGCAACAATGAGGTTATTGGTGTGGGAGGAATTATCTTAATGAATGATAATCCAATTGTAATGTTGAAGAATATGTGAAACTTGAGGAATTTGAACCATGCACATGTGGAATACTTTGTTGTCTTCCAAATTGTGTCTAACTTGGCAGAGGAGAAAGAATGAATACATGGGCAATGCTAGCTGGTCTAATAATGATGTTGATGAGAATGGCTAGGAGTGATTGAGCTCATACCAGGAGCCAGGTGTTACCTGAGTATTTTCCCACTTACCTTCTTAGCACCCTCATGATTTTCTTTCTAATGATGAAGGGAAAATATATATGGAACTTAACAGAGAGTGATCAGCCGTGTGGCAGAGAAGTTTCAGGACTCAGGCATCTGGGCTTGGGGTGAGAAAATGGATTCACAGTAGGAGCTGGAATGGAAACAGGACGGCATTAATGTTTCATAGCACTTTGTACATGCCTCTGTTGCGGGTGGACTGTGTAGCCACTGTCTAAGATGTGGTGTGGAGGTAGAAGTTTGACAATTATCTTCCAATGCTCCTTCATTAGAAAAGGAGACTTTAGAAGGTGGATTTCTCTTTCCAGGATTGTTGTAGGAATGTGGTTAACGATAGAAAATTTAATTCACCAAGAAACTAATGTTTATAAAAGTGGTTAGAGCCCTGTTTCAAGAATAGTGCTTAATAAGAAGTGAAATAGTATTAGCTCTTATTATTACTATCATCATCCATCCATTGAGCCAGTTAATATGAATGCTATCTACTCAGCAGGGGTGAATCCAGAGATAAAAGACATAGAATTTGCCATGAAGTATAGTATAATGGGAAATGGAGGCAAAGCTGCCAACTCAGAGGGTACTGACCCATTTAAGAAGAGATTGAATGAATTATGACATCTTGAATGGTGTGCACTTTTTTTTTTTTTGAGACAGAGTCTCGCTCTGTCACCCAGGCTGCAGTGCAGTCACGCAATCTCGGCTCACTGCAGCCTCTGCCTCCCGGGTTCAAGCAATTCTCCTGCCTCAGCCTCTGAGTAGCTGGAACTACAGGTGTGCACCACCACACCCGGCTAATTTTTGTATTTTTAGTAGAGATGGGGTTTCACCATGTTGGCCAGGATGGTCTTGATCTCCTGACCTCGTGATCCGCCCGCCTTGGCCTCCCAAAGTGTTGCAATTACAGGCGTGAGCCACCATGCCTGGCCAGTGTGCACTTTCTAAACCTTCAAGACAGAAGAAATAACAAAGACAAACAGAGTTGAATGCATTAGTATTTACAATTCTCAAACTGAATAAGAAATCAAATTAGGAGCCAAATAAGCTGTAAGTATGATTTATAGCAAACTATAGGAAACATATACTAAAGTTTTTAGTAGATAATGCTGTCATTTAATCTGCTAAGAAATCAGTAAGCACCTCATAGATTAGTGATCAATGTATGTGATCATTTACTAAATAGTAATGAAAATGTCTAAAGGAAAACAAAAACACTACAACTTAGAAATGCAAATTAAATCCATCATGAGCTACCTTTTCACTTGGCAAATAAGACAGATTTTTTATATTTTCAGTGACTGTCGATTTCCAGTGAAATGGGTTGGCTCATGCATGATCAACAAGAATATAAATGGTGCAATCTGTTGAAAAAACAACTTGGCAATGTGAAAGTCTACATTTGAGGGCCTGTACTACTGAAATAATATTAAGTATGATAAAGGCAATGTGCATTTTTATTTCAGCACTATTTGAAGTGGTGGAAAGTTGGTGCAATCAAAGTATCCATTTAGAAGTGGGGAGTGGTTAGGTAAACAGTGGTTCTAAGGGAACATTTAGAAGGATGTTAGTAATGTTTGTTTAGGAGCATGGAAATTACTCACAAAATATCATTAAAGAAATAAAGCAGGATCCAAAAACTATGTATTTAAAATAGTTAAAATAATGATATTCAGAATAAAAGGATTTTGTTGTTGTTAATGGCTATCTTTGAGTAACAGGGCTCTAAGCAATTTTTGTTTCTTTTGGTTTGTCAGTACTTTGCAAATATTATTTAACTGGAATCTAATTCATGAGCATGTGTACGTGCAATCAATTTCATCACCAACTCAACTTTGAGTAGCATTTTCAAATATTCACCAAAGTATTTCATCTTGGTTTTTTTCACAGTAATTTGTAAGATAGGGCTGGAAGTATATTTTTCTTTTAGAGATAACAAAACAGGGGTTCATGACAGCTCAATATTAAACATATTATTTTAGAAAAACATCATAAGAAACTTCATAAGAAAAAAAACGGAGGAAGAGAGGATTAAGTAAAGTCACCTTTACAAGTTAGTTTCTATGTATATTTTGGTACAATATCTCAAGAATGTGGGGAGAGAGAGAGAATGGCAGGAGGGAAAGTTCTGGAAGAAAATAAATTGCATGTTTTATTTTCTTCAAAAGCACTTGGGTACCAAGAAAACAAACAAAAATACCTAGCAGACCAGAAGCTTTTGGTTCAAGTAGGTAAGGAGAGCCATAAAATTAGAATACATTTATTGTTCGTGACCAGCCTGACCAACATGGAGAAACCCCATCTCTACTAAAAATACAAAAAACTTAGCCGGGCGTGGTGGCACATGCCTGTAATCCCAGCTACTCTGGAATCTGAGGCAGGAGAATCACTAGAACCCGGGAGGCAGAAGTTGCGGTGAGCTGAGATTGCACCACTGCACTCCAGCCTGGGCGAAAAGAGCGAAATTCTGTCTCAAAAAAACAAACAAACAAACAAACAAAAACATTTATTGAATTTATTGAGAAGGCATCATTGAAGTTGACATTATAAATTAGGATATTTTTCTCAGCATCCACATCCCTTTTAATATCTTCTTGTTTTTTGTCTGGGTTTGATATGTCATCATTCAATGTTAGATCCATCCCAGCCACGTTGCTGAGAATAAACCCAATCCAGCACTTTGTCCTCAACAAAACATGCACTTCAGGTCAGACAGACATGGATTCCAGTCTGGGTTCTACCATTTCACGGTGACATAATGTTGGGCAAATTATTCAACCTCTTTCAGCCTCATTGTTCTCATGATTAAACTGAAGACCATAGCTTATAAAATGATTTGAGGGGATTAAATGGGACAACACAGGAAAAGGCCTAGCACATAGTGATAACATGATAACAATGGCAACATTAATAGTAAGCAACATAATATATGCTGAATAAATGTTTCTTTTCTAAATCTTCCTCCATCAGGATATCCACTGTAGGTTCTGTAAGGGAGATGCAATATAAAATTCACTTTCTAGATTGGAGGAGTTTTAGTCACTGATTAGTCAAATTATTAACTTTAAAATGATTATATATAAAGTAGCATGTGCATATTAAATTATTAATATATTAGGTTGGAGTCTAGAATAGATTCCATTCAATAATTTTTCAGATTTAATGAATTATTGTGCGAAGTTATTGAGGAATGACATGTAATATTTATTATGAGGTTTGGGGAAAGAAAATTGATATTTTAAAACATGAACACTCTATCAAGTTTGTAATAGAGCTCTATTTTATCTCATATGAGAAAAGGTTCCCCAAGTTGTCTAAAAACTGAAATAGTTTCTTATAAACATTTAAAATGATATAATAACAGATTTCTCTCCTCATGACTAAAATATTGCTGTAGGCTGTAGTTACAAGGCAATTTAAAAGGGGTGGAACTATTGATAATAATCATTACTATAAAGCACCCATTAGTATTTTTTGTTTGTTTGTTTGTTTTGTTTTGTTTTCAATCTTAAAATCAGGTGCAGCATGAAAACAGAGACTAGACAATGAGCTAGATACAGAAACTTTAGACCAAAACTCTTCAAACATCAACATTAGGATTTGAGGACTTTTCTAGTTTTAGAATACCGTGGTCTGAAAATCTTTAGTATCAAAAAGTATGAAGTTGTGGAATATCAGATTTTTTTCAACTACAGAATGAATACCTAGCCTCTATTTGATTTTAACACAACGTCTCTGTTTATTGTAACCGTTTGTTACCATAAAAGTATAAACTGAAAGGTAGCAATGATGGGTGAGTGTAATATATTACATTAAATAAACTTGTCCTGTGAGCAGAACATGGAAAACTCTGTTTACATTACAGTAAGCTGTTTTCTGCTGCATTTACAATTCTGCTGTGCAAATAAATTAAGGGGACTTATGACAGCTCAATTTACTTTATCTGGTGAAACCCCAAAGACATTATTACTATAATTTTAGCATATTTAACTCAATGTAGGTATTTAGTAATGCAATAATCAAGCAAGTCTTTTTAAAGGAAAGTGGGTTTTAGCTGATCATTTCGAAAAAGAACAAAAGAAAATTACTATATAAAGACTGGAACAATACAATCCAACACACATTAAACTTGCAAGGGAGGTGACTATGAAGGTCATTGTATGAGCTTGTAGGAGACTTTAAAAATGGAAGGGTGGGTACTATTTAGAAAATGATTTTTTATACTCTATTCCACTAGTTGATCTAGATAGCAACTTTGATTTGGACCGAAAGTAAAACTGGTAGAGGGTGAAATTTGCAGATGGTTCCAAATTCTCTTGTATTAAGTAGAATAGATACTACTAAGATAATAGTTAATTACAGTATTTACTGTACTTAAAGCTGAGACCTAATTTTCTCAGCTTTCTATTTAGGATGAATTGTCACATTCTGGTGTGTGTGTGTGTGTGTGTGCGTGTGTGTGTATGCATGTTGTGGGTGTGTATAAAATTGTATCATAGAGGCAGTGTAACAAAGTGGAGTGGAAAGAGACATAGGTTTGGAAGAAGACCTAAATTCAAGTCCCTGCGTGTTAGGAAGGTGATCACTTCAGCAACGTGAATTACTGGGGGTTGAGTTCCGGCTTTCAAATTATGTTGTCTTAATTTAGAATTGTCTGGGTGCCCTGGACCAGCTAACAATATAGGAAGTAGACACCACTGCCTTAAGCATCTCATGGCTGTTTCTGCACATAGTTGCCTTTGTCAAGAACACGTTTTGCACGTTGTTGCCTTTGTCGATTACATGTTTTGCCCTTCCTCCTCCCCGTGAGAGTCTTGTTACCCTTCTATGCTCATTTCAAACATTCCTTCTGAAGTTTTCCTCCAAAGCATTTTTAGTTATCTTTTGTTTAAAAAATATTATTGATTGTAAATGAAACTTAAGTACCTTGTGGAAAAATACACAAATACAAAGGTAAAAGTAAATATCAATCGTAACTGCTTGAATCAGGGATAAATATCATTAGCATTTTGCCATATTTCTTTCCAGTTTTATTTTCTGCAAATTCATATTTCCCCTCCAAAGAACAAACAATAGTAACAAAAAAACCAACTTAGGAATTTATTTGTATACTTTTATATTCTCTTTTAACATTAAATCATGTCCATTTGTTCATATCTTTATTCTTATAAAGCATGATTTTCAGATCTTCATAGTAGTTCATCCCAGATGTATAGCATAATTAATAGCTCCTCTTTTTTTTGGCCATTGGGGCTGCTTAAAATATTATAAGCAAAGCATGAAAACATTCTTATAAATTATTCTTGTCCGGATCTAATACTATTTGTGCAGGACAAATTCCTAGAAGAATTCCTGGGTACGTACATTTTTTATACTTTTGAAATATATTGCCAAATGGGCCCCTAGAGAAATTGCATCATTTTGCACTTCTGCCAGCTCTAGGCAGTAATGGCCATTTTCACTGTGGCTTTTCATGCAAGGGCAGGACTCATCACACATACATAACAATACATAAAATCACAATACATAAAATCAGTGTTCAAGGAGCTGTATCAGTTTTAAATTTGAGCATCGTCTGTTATAGGCCCAATGAATGCCTAGTGAAGGCCAGGCATGGTGGCTTACACCTGTAATGCCAGCACTTTGGGAGGCCATGACAGAAGAATCACTTGAGCCCAGGAGTTTAAGGCTGACACGAGCTATGATCATGCCATTGCACTCCAGCCTGGGCAACACAGCGAGACCCCTGTCTCTACAAATAATGTTAAAATCTTAGCCAGGTGTGGTGGCATGCATCTGTAGTCCTAGCAACTCAGGAAGCTGAGATGGGAGGATTGCTTGAGCCCGGGGGTTGGAGGCTGCAGTGGGCTATGATCATGCCACTGGATGCCAGGCTGTCCCTAAAAACAAAAGAAAGAAATAAAATAATAATAAATGCCCAGTGAACCAACCACACTATAGTAGTCTAAATTTGAAGTAAATTAAAAGAGCTTATCTTTTATAATTCTGTGGAATTAAACTTTTAAATTTTATCAGACAATACCAAGCGTTATTGCCAAGAATTAGTATTTAGGCAAGAAGAGATGGATCAGGTCAAGAATATGGAGAGCTGACATCTCAGGGTGTTGAGAGCACAGGCTCAGGAGCTCAGAGTGTGGACTCAGAATCTGGTTTGCCATGGAGGGGCCACTTCAGCTCTTGTGCCTCAGTTTCCCCACTGGTGTACCGGGGTAATAGCAGTGCTCACTCCACCCATGCCGTACAGATTGGACATATTCACACATGTAGAGCACTTGAAACAGTCTGGAACATATTTTTTTAATCAGATTTTCAACTGAATACAGATTTCAAACTTTAATAAGATATTTTAAATATATTTAACTTAATAACCAGTAGGGAAACACCCAGCAAAAGGATGGGAAGAAATTTATAAACACATTTTAACACGGAAATATTATTGAATGCAAAATATATGAGTAAAGTAATTAAAAATGTACATACATATACATAAAAGATGTGATCTTGTTTTAAATTCTACTGCCTTTTAAAATGGAATACTCTATTTTAGAAAACCTATTTCATTATATTTTTAAGTAGTTACTATTTGATTAAAATGCAATATATTTTTAAATAAAAAATATGCACTTTAAACAGACTATGCTGTATCTATATTTATTCTTACATTATGCAACATTGCTGCTTAAATATACTATCCATAAAATATTAGGTGCATCCTTTAAAAATGGTTTTTATTCCTTTCTTGTAACTATGTAATAGATACTGATATCCTATTGTTATAATTCAAGTACTTTATATATCAACCTCATTTAGGCCACATGACGGAAAAAGCTATTCTCATGTTAAAAGAATTGTGAATACTTACTGACTGAATGATTTTTAACTTTGGCTTGAGTTCCTACTCATGTAACAAAAATCACCTGCCCCATGTAGAAGTTAATTCTAATTTGTGTCTATAAAAATATTATTTATTATTAAGCAACTAACAGTTACTCTTATTACCCAACCATGAATATCTACAGCAATAAGTGGCTGGTGACAGCTTCAGGAGGTTGAGACTGTATGAGAAAAAGACCGCAGGAATTCTAGAAATTAATTGCTTCATTAAGTCCAGACTTTAAAGGTGATTGCCAGTTTTTAAAATCTCTCCCTGAATAACCATCGAGCAGGATTCTAAGTATGTTCTAATACTTCCAATATCAATTTTCACTGTAACCAATAGATTTCACCAAGGTGTAAGCTTAGTGTGATAATGTAAGACCCATCAGAATCTGTTGCTTGATGTCTGCAAACAAAGAATTAATGAATGTGTCAAATTCGTTACCCAAAGGGAGTATAAATTGTAACAGAACTCTACATTAATATCTGACAGTTATATTTAAAAAGAAACTCATTCCTATTTCAGAAAGCAGTGAAAGTTAAAAAGATAAAACATACTCTTTCTGTATTTAGGCTTGCTTCTTTTACTTATTTATTTTATTTTCTTATTATTTTTTTTGAGACGGAGTCTTACTCTGTCACCCAGGCTGGAGTGCAGTGGCGTGATCTGGGCTCACTGCAAGCTCCTCCTCCCGGGTTCACGCCATTCTCCTGCCTCAGCCTCCCGAGTAGCTGGGACTACAGGCACGCACCACCATGCCCGGCTAATTTTTTGTATTTTTAGTAGAGATGGGGTTTCACTGTGTTAGCCAGGATGGTCTGGATCTCCTGACCTCGTGATCCGCCCGCCTCAGCCTCCCAAAGTGCTGGGATTACAGGCGCGAGCCACCGCGCCCGGCCCAGGCTTGCTTCTAATTATATGCTGGGGGATGACACGAGAGACTAGGAGAGACTAGACACTTCAGCTCAGAAGCCCTTCAGACTTCAAGCTCAATATGCTGTCGTGATGATAATTTGACCTCTCCATTATATTTCAGTTTTACTTCCAGGACAAAAGAAAGAGTAAAACTTTAAAGTAGTCATCTTTTATTCCTACCTTACAATGTTTATCTATGCAAAATAATAGCTAATTCCAAATAACAAATGGAAATGGATTTGTTGCTATCTCATGTGTTGTAGCAAAAGCTAAGCTAAAATACCTCTTTTTAGAAATTGATTGATTTCTTTAATATGGTTTCATCTAAATGGATACCAATGTCTATGAAAACATCTATGCTGTCATTTTAAATACATGACTACACCTTTGTACAGTTGTGCAAACACATTCTTGTCTTATTAGAAACAAGATGCTGCCTCTTTGTATTTCCATACAATTAACATGGATATATTCCAAAATGAATGAACAAGTTTAGCTATTAAAAAAAGAAGGATGCACGTAGGTATATATTATGCATTCTACTAGGCATTAATTTTGTATTCTATTAGACCATCTTAGATACTGCAAATACTCTAAAAGTGTTATTTTCATGAGCAAATATGTCTGTTGAGCAGCAGATCCCAAGGTGGATTTAGAGGTACAACAAATTCACTGGGATGGCGGCAGATGTCTGTGAAGGATAAAGGGGAGGGGAGTGAGAGTAGGTGGGGAAGGCCTCAAAACCACAACACAGGTGGCTCCCCAGTGAAGGGAGAGGGGAAGCAATGAAGGATGGGAGAGCCTCAGACCGCAGCACAGTTAGGAGAAAGTCTTAGCCAGGTTGATGGGAAGTGTATAATAGTAGGAAAAAATAAACTAACAGTTTTATCCTACTGTACCCTCAACACTCAACACTCTCAAATGTGTAGGGAGTTTCCCCCAAGCACCAAGCAGTTCTCCAGAGGATGCTGACTGGGGGCCCTACAATTCAACTCAATTCTGACACTGTCCACCTCGAGCTAGTGGCAGATCCCACAGATGAAGGGCTTACTCTCACAAGACTCTCCCCCACTTCCAATGACAATAGCAAGTCTGAGCTTCTGGAGCTTCTGATAACTATAAATTGGGGGTTCCCATGACCTGCTCTTTGAGGTAAATTATTTGCTAGATTGGCTCATTGGACTCCTGGAAGTGCTTTGCTTATGCTTACCCATTTGTTAAAAGGAAACAGATGAACAGCCAGATGAAAGAGATGCACAGAACAAATTGTGGAGGAAGGGGTGAGGAGTTTCCAGGCCCTCTCCAGGCGAGCCACCTTCCCGGCACCTGGAAGCTCTCTGAGCCCTGTCCTTTTTTTTTTCTTTTTTTTTTATGGAGGCTTCATTATTTAGATGTGAGTGATTCAACCATTGGCCATTGGTGATCAACTCGATGTTCAGCACTTCTCGCCTTTCCAGGTTAGGAGGTGGGGCTAAAAGTTCCAATCTTCTAATCACACACTGGGGCACCCTGGCAACAAGGCCAGTGCTAAGGCTCCCTGACCCTAAAGCCATCAGTCATCTCAGCATACAAAAAGACACAGTGCTTTGGAGATTTCAAAAGTTGTAGGAGCTGTTTGCAAGGAACAGGAGAGACCAAATACAATTATATACCATATAGTGTTGTTTTCCTTAACTGCAGACTGAGATAACTATAGTGGTCCCGTAGGATTATAACAGAGCTGAAAAATTCCTATCACCTAGTGATGTGGTAGCAGCAGCTCACTACCCGTGCATGTGTACGGGTTGGTGTAAACGAACCTACTATGCTACCAGTTGTATAGAAGTATAGCACATAGAATTATGTATAGTACATAATACTTGGTAATGGTGATATATTATTACATTACTGACTTATGTATTTACTATACTATATGTTTTTAATTGTTATTTTAGAGTGTGGATTTTCTACTTATTTTTTATTTATTTATTTATATTTTTGAGACGGAGCACAATGGCGTGATCTCGGCTCAGCGCAGCCTCTGCCACCCGGGTTCAAGCAATTTTCCTGTCTCAGCCTCCCAAGTAGCTGAGATTACAAGCATACGCTACCACGCCTGGTTAATTTTGTATTTTTAGTAGACACGGGGTTTCTCCCTGTTGGTCAGGCTGGTCTTGAACTCCCAACCTCAGGTGATCTACCCGCCTCAGCCTCCCAAAGTGCTGGGATTACAGACCTGAGCCACAGTGCCCAGCCTTCTACTTTTTTTTTTTTAAGTTAATTGTAAAACAGCCTCAGGCAGGTCCCTCAAGGGGTGTTCCAGAAGAAGGCATCATTATCATAAGAGATGACAGTTCCATGCATGTTCACTGCCCCTGAAGGCCTTCCAGTGAAACAAGATGTAGAGGGGAAGACGGTGATATTGATGACATTGAACCTTTGTAGACCTAAGTTACGGTGTGTGTTTCTGTCTTAGTTTTTAACAAAAATGTTTAAAAAGTTAAAAAAATGTTTACAGATAGAAAAAAGCTTATAGTATAAGGGTATAAAGAAACCAAATATTTTTGTGCAGTTGTATCATGTGTTTGTGTTTAAGCTAAGTGATATTACGTTTGAGTCAAAAAGTTTTTAAAAAATTTATAAAGTAAAAATGTTACAATAAGCTAAGGTTAATTTTATTACTGAAAGAAGAAAAAAATTTTAAATAAATGTAGTGTAGCCTAAGTGTAAAGTGTTTATAAAGTCTCCAGGATACTGTAATGTCCCAGGCCTTCACATCCACTCACCACTCACTCACTGTTACCAAAACACCAGTCACTGGGATGACAAGCATTGACAAGGAAGAAGGCTTTAATCGGGTGCTGTAGACGAGGAAATGGGAGGTCAGCCTCAAATCTGTTTCCCTAAGACTAGGGGTTTATATAGTGGGGAGTTGGGGGCAGTGCCTAACAGTGTGTAAGAAAACAGGAACTAGGGAGGGGCAAGGAGGCATCTGATGCCGTGATCCTGGTGAGTTTCAGTTCTTTGATACTTTTTTTGAGAGGCCTGAAGGTCCTTTCCTTGATAAAACAAATATAAATTTTAAGCCTTACCAGCAGAAGGGTCAATTTCTATGATTATTCAAAAACAACTGTCTGTGAGAGTCGGGCTGGTTTCATGACTAACTCACCCAGAGCAACTTCCAATCCTGCAAGCTGCGTTCGAGGTAAATGCCCTATGCAGGTAAACCGTTTTTTATCTTTTATAAGGAACTTTTAGTGTACCTTTTCTATGTTTAGATACACAAGTACTTACCATTGTGTTACAGTTACCTACATTATTCAGGGCAGTAACATGCTGTACAGGTTAATAGCCTAGGAGCAATAGGTTGTATACCATATAGCCTCAGTGTGTAGTAGGCTACACCGTCTAGGCTTGTGTACATCCACTCTACGATGTCGGCGTAATGACAGAATCATCTAAGGAGGCATTTCTCGGAACGTATCCTGGTCCTTAAGTGATGCGTGACCGTATGTGTTTCTTACAATGTCACGGGAAGTTTCCATGCCAAAGTAGTGTACATGAATGGCCCAATTGGGGTACCCTGCCATCCTTGATCCCTGGATGAGGGTATCCAGGGTGCAACATTTGGAACTGGGGCTGTGGAAGAGAGTGTGGCCTGGCATGAATGCCACACTGGATCAAAAAGTACAACAGCTTGAGGCTGTCAGGCAATTGCCCTTCCCCAGAGCATGTTCTAGTGAAGAGAGCTCTGAGCAGAAACCACTGTGGCCACTGTACTGACCCAAGTATAAAAACTAAACATACCTTTCTTCCACAGGAGCTGCACTTGACAGCTTATCTACCTCTAACATCTTTACTATGTACTTGAAGATGTACATGTCCACTTTGTGGTCAGGTGTCTTAAGCCTCAGGCATTCCAGTTCTGAGGGAAAGCCATAGATGAAACAGCTTGTTGCTGTCATTCCCCGGAAATCCTCAGCCAGATGCATCTTTGACGTTTGCATCATCCTTTCTCAGGTCAAACCAGTGAAACCATTGGAATCTACACTCAGGTCCCTATTGGCCCCTTTCTTTGTATGGCCATAGGCAGGTTACTTAACTTTTTAAGCCTCCATTTTCGCAACTGTAAACTGGGAATAATAATAGAGTCAAGGGCTGAAAGTGAGGATTTAATGAAAGAACACATATAAACCTCTCAATATGATGCTTGACATATGCTAAGCAACCTAAGATATTAGCAGTTTTTATTGGGATTGTAGTTTTTTAGTGTCCTTGTGTTATCTATACAGTTTACACTCCAGAAAAAAAACAGATTGTTATATACGTGTCTTCTATTTGTGTTGGCAGGCTTTATTTTGAGAGCTCCAACTATGTCCTTCAATTTAATATGTATAGTATAAATGAGATCAGAGCCCTATAAAGCATCAAGTTTGGTACTTTCTTGTCTAGTGCTTTGGATTTTAAATTTGAGGTTTTGTCTATTTGCAAGCAAAGCCATAGTTCCATAGTGTGCACTAAGCTTTCATATTCCCCAGGGACAAAAATAAACGTTGAGGGCTTTTGAGTGGATAAAAGCAAGCAAGTTACCTGTCTAGACTGAGGCCAACACACTCATGCTTCAGAGGTGCTCAGTTTCAGAATCAAGAAGTGATACATTTGTTACTTTTGTTTCATAAAATTATTAACTGCTTGATAATGCTTTTGAAGGATATGAGAAAAATTAAAGTGGTTTAAGAAGGAGATTATAAACTAATTTAAAGGATGGACTCAAATATGGTTTATGATGTGGATCCAAACCAAGTAACTTGTGAAATGGTTTCATCACTTGTTTCTGTCCATGAAGGAAGTTGTTTCTTATGGGAAGGTAGAAATTTGTGGGCTTCAATTCAGTCTCAGTTATGCCGTACTTGTGTTGTTCAGGAAAGTACGTGCCACAGGCCACAGTGATAGCTGAAGAATTGTAGCTGAAGAAAAAAAAAAGTGTTATCAAGAAGCTTACATTATACTTGGGAAAAGAAAGGAAAAGAATACATAATACGGGAGAGTACATAAGAAAAGAGTAGAATGTATGGTATGTTAGGTGGTGGCAAACGTTATCAAGAAAAATGAAACCGAGAAAAGGGCCTCGTTTTTAAAGTGACAGAGGTAACCATAAACTTTTATCTATTAACTATCTACTTCCTAATGAACAGATGTGACTGTGTTTCCAGGCATACTGAAGCCACTGGATACAAAAGCCCATATTTTTAAGATGACTGGCTGCTGTGTTTCGGGAAGTGGTGGGTGTCTAGGAAGCAGAGCTAAATGTGTGATCAGGGCTGTATTGGTGTGGTTTCAACTAAGAAATAGAGCAGATTGCAGATAAAAAGAAATATATTGCTTATACCAAAATGGAAGTCCCTACTATCTTAGTACTAAGCTGATAAATTTAAATGCTGAGTATATTTAAAACTAATGTAGGAATGAAGATATATAAAGTAAAGCATAATAATTATAATAATAGGGCATATTATGCCTAAATTCCATAAGGTATCATCAGTGTACAAGCTTTATAACCCAAAGCATTTGATTCTTGAATGCATTTTGAAGGAACCTTCAAACTTCATAAATCTTTGATTTGAAAGATACTTCTTTTTAACCTGCATTAGTTTTCACTGCATAAGATCCTCATCAGAAACATTAAGGAAATTGACTTGGTATTGTTATGGGCATAATGATCCAGACTCAAAACTCTGAAATAGAACTCTGTACTTTGCTGCTCATCTGAATGCAGAAAGAAGAAATGGGAGACCCCCCCCCATCAGGGTGGAACTCTTCCGGCTACTTGCACCTTAGATGTACAGGTCTTACTTACTCTCATTATAATGAAATGGCACATTGTATTGAACAAAGCTGTAGGGGTCTTTTTAAAAGAATTATGTTCACTGTAGTTAGGGCTCATTCTCCACCATTAACTGCTCTTCTCCCACAAGTGGTCAAGGTTTCTGGATTTCCTGTGACACAGGAAGAGGTGGACAGGGGATTTTGTAACACAGACCAGTGGCTAGAAAGATATTTCCAAAGAAGTAGCATGAAGTTTAACCATCATCTTGAATCTGGAGTCCTTTTTGTCCCTAAATCTAAATGAAAAATCAAGTACCTATTTTCAAATAACAGTCATAATTAAAGCCAAGAAAAAAAACATGTAAAAATCATTTATATTCGTTTTGCTACATTTTCTACTTATATTTTAACAAAATATGGCTGAAAATACATTGGATTTAAAAGTAACTGTAAGGACCTATTTAACCCTCTTAAATTTCCTTCTACCCTGTCTAAAGGAGTCTTCAAAGGAATGTATATTATTATTATTTACATTTCATTTGCTTTCCATATTAATATCATCCTTAGAATCCTTAACTTGCTTTAAGCACTAGTTTGTAAGAAGAATGGTTATAAGTATAAAAGTGAGTTCCACTGAATGCTATACATCTTCAATTAAGATTGATAATTATACTTAAATGAAAGCAACATTCATTAATAGATATGGTTTTATTTTCATATTTAGAGAACCTTTTTTGGAGTGACAGGATGGGTAGTTCTCTGAGGTTCTTCTTCTCTAACCTAGAATTATTTTAACACAGTTGATAGTTTTGTCTACCAGTGCCATAAAGCAAATCTTAGTGGTGAGAGAGCTTTTGACATTTTCTCCAAACGATTCTTATTAAAAGTAATGTCCACATACCCTGAAGAAGTAATGTAAATGCATTAACAGATGGGATTTTGAGATTAGCTAGCTGTCTCCTAAAAGTTGTCAACATTTGAAGTATTCATTTTTATTTAATAAATAATGATCACGCATTAACTCTGTGTTAGGCCCTATTCAGGGGCTTTACCCATACTAATTTGACTCTGCAAACAGCCCTCTGAGGAAGGTACCAAGGGAGAAATCAAGACACAGAATGGTTGTGTAACTTGCACAAAGTTACATGGCTAATAAATGGTCAAACTGAGATTGAAACAATCATAGTCCGGCTCCAGAACAGGTTCTGAAGAGGAAATGTGCCTGGAACAGGAGACGCGCTGGACATTTATCCATTAGCTTGTAAGAAAGTGTAAGGAGTATGTATTGGGGAAGAATGGAAAGGCCAAACATAAAAGGGACCAGAGTGTAAAGAGTGGACCTTTTGTACTTCTCTGCCCTTTCTTGAGTATGGGCTTCCACTCCTATTTTTTTTCCCCCATCATAATTTAAGGATTGATGCTTGCTGCTAAGAAGTTCCAGGGTATTAAGAAGAATGCTAATGACACCTTCTCTATTAGGAGATAAATTTGCTACCAAACTCCATCCCAGAATGATTGGTATCCAGTGAAACTAGTAGGTTGTTTTTAATCCAAGGTTGCATTTATATTTTTTTTCTCCTTTATTATTGCTTTGAGCAATTCTCCTCTTTCTATATTATTCATCCTTGTATCTAAGGAAGACATTATTCCTTAACCCACTATAATTCCTGTCAATTAAAAAAATCTACACACCTTCTTCCAAAGATAATTTAAGGTGATTTTCAAAATGACATAAAGTACAACACGGTAAGATTAAAGTAGATAAGGGAAATAATGATATAAAAATTAGCAGAAGCTAACAATGAGTTAACACTATCAATTTTCATGTATACTTAGAAGTGGTGGGAAACAAATGAAATTATAGTCTTTCAGTGATCAACACAAAAAAATGAAAATACAAAATAAAATGTAGTGTTCTTCAGGTTAGGAAAGATTCTTAGACAAATGTATAGTGATTCCTATGCTTCAGAGAGAAACTTCCATAGTTCCTCATAAAGAGACATTGTGTGAAGTAATGAGTATCATCTGCAATACAGCAAACACAAAAGTGAAATTCACTGGACTTTCTTAAAATGGCCTCCATTGGGATCTATAGCCTAATATTCAAGAAAAATACAACAAAGCAGTTCTTCTAAGAGCCAACATGACGGGGTCCATGTATGCAGCTCATTATTTTGGCTTGATTCAAGAATGAGATTTAGTGGATTTGGAGAAGAAAGTTCAAGGCTATATTTTCTGACAAATGCTTCAAGTCTAGATATCATGTGCCAATGAATAAGGAGAGATTTATATGGGTTATAGGTTCTGATCAAGATTATATTTAAAATTAAATGCGCTTTTTCCCCTTTATAGTATAATGAAGGCATTATAACTTAGAAATCATATATGAATCCTTCTGAGAGTAGATATCAACTGCTGCAGTTTTTGGTCAATATACATAGAAGATGGGGTGTTTGAATCTCAAGCTAGCTCAGGGGGAAATAATTTAAAGATGACAAAATTTGCAAAAGCTGATTCTATTTATTTATTTATTCAAATTACATTGTGGGACAACTGGTGACTGGCTTTCTTTCTACTTTCCTTTATGGCTCCTTTACGTGTATCTTCCTTCTGTTATGTGTATGTTTAACACAGATTCTGTACAAGCAAATCTTAATGTGCTTATGTGCGTGCCTCCATATACGCAAAGAAAAAAAAATTATCATTCTCTTGACAGGATGAGCTCCCTGGTGGTCTCTCTGGTTGATTTGCAATGTAATTTGACCCAGCAAATGCAAACATGGGCCCTTTCTCCCTGGAGATTTCTAATGTCATCTTCTATCCCCATTTTTCTACCTGTTCCTCACCACCGAGGAACGTGGACATCAGGACGTCAGCATATTCCATCTCCTCCTGTCTCCTCTGGGGACATGTTGGTTGGTTACATTCTGCCCTCCTTTCCTTCATCATCTCCCTTCTGACTAGCTCTCTTTCCCCTCAGCATTCTCAATTCTCTCCCACTTTCAAAAGCAAATAAATGAAGTGACAGGAAAAAATGACCGTCCAATGGCCCTGTCCTCTGGCCTCTCCACCCTTGGGTAATACCGCTTCTCTCAGCTGGATATAAATACT
This sequence comes from Homo sapiens, assembly GCF_000001405.40. Lineage (NCBI taxonomy): Eukaryota > Metazoa > Chordata > Mammalia > Primates > Hominidae > Homo > Homo sapiens. Next base: position 239,462,032 of record NC_000001.11, read on the forward strand.
ATTTCTAAAAAATTATCTTTAATTTACTCATGGGCTGAGTTTCTGTTTCCTGCATTCATTTAAATGTTACATAATTGTAATTTTTTATCTTTTTCTCTGAAACATAAAATGTCTAAGTGCTGAGTTTGCTTAAAGTGAGAATTTCGGTGATTTGGAGATATTTACTAAATTTGAAAACTGAGGATACATTCATTTTATTATTCCACAAGCAGTTTTATTTGAACAGAAGTATTTTCCTTTTCATTATATAAATTTGGGAGCAAGTAGAAAATGTCCCTGGGTTATACCAGGTTAGTCATATCCACGAGAACCAGTTTTTGTTATCCAAAGTTGATAGTATGTTTCAAAAGTCATGATTCTGAATCTTAATGCTCAAAAGGAAAAAAAAATTTTTCATATTGTTGTTCTTCTGCCAGAACATAAATACTTTTCTGTTTTGTTTTTATAATATAATGCATCCCAGGGATGTAAAAAACAGAATTTCAATTTGTACCTTCACACTTTTACAGCTGCCTGCAGGGTACGTGTAAAAATAATTTGACTAGAAGTTAACTTTTCTGGTAGATTAGGTTATCAAAATGATGATTAATATCAAATTACCTACAAATACTATAAAAGAGATAACTTTAGAATTTGTAAAATAAAGTCTTAGATTTACTTTTTGTACATACAGCATGTTTGAAGCTACAGGTAATTTTGTGAGATTTTAGCGTCCTAGCTCAAGTTTACTTAACAACTGTTTCTGCAGCTTTTTCCTTGATGCTTCACATTATATTAGCACACAGTTTTAAAATTCCATAGTGGGAAGTACACTTACACTGTTAGTGCAGACATTTTAGAGAATCAATTTCGGACATTTGTTGTTATATAACTCCTAGTTCAACTGGACAGAATTAATTCTCTGATCACCAGTCAGCAAATATATGAGGGGGAAGAATTTATAAGCCCTAATTTCTAGAAAAGGCAGTTTACTTTATGTAGCTAAAATGCATGGCTACATTTTTATATTAAACCAGACTGTGTATAACTAACTAATCGATTGAACAACACAGATAACAAAGTGAGGAATAGTCACACCTCCTTATAATGGTTTTGAGGATGAGATGAATAATAGTAAGCAGCTAGCACAGAGTTTGGCATATTATAGATACAGATAGAGTGAATACATGAATAAATAACCAGTGAGTATATTAATATTGGAATTGTATGAGGCATTATTTTCAAACCAAGGTCAGAATTTTTTGCTAGATGTAATCTAATTTTCATGCATTTTCTTGGTGAGTCTGAAAGGGTATGCCCTGAATGACTTTCCTGACAATATTGCATCCTCATTCTCCTTATCCCTCCTTGCTCATTCTTTTGCCCTTTTCCCCCAGGAACTGTGCACCTCTGCCGTCTCACTCTAATTCTGTGCTGGACTCAAAGCCCCCTGGATGAGCTTTTGGAATCTAAGATGTCTTAGTTTTAACCTGTCACTGCTGTCTTGATCTTTTTTATTTCTTTTTAATGACATTTTATTTTTTCTAATTATTCAATTGATACATTTTCAAAGGAAATTGTGAAAATACAGGACTATGTGAAGAAAGGAAATAGAACTCATAATCCCCATAATTATTAACTGTTAACATTTAGGTATTTTTCCTATCTTTATTCTTTCTCTTTTTCTTCTAATACATTTTTAATTCATTTCTAATACATTTTTTCTAATACATCATTGTTGACTATAGGTAAGATGTGATATGGCAGATGTCTGCAACTTATGCATCTTGCTTAACTGAAACCTCATGCTCATTGATTGTCCCTCCCCATTTTTTCTCCCCGCCAGCTCCTGGCAACCACCATTCTACAATTTTATTCTATGAATTTCAGGATCTTAGATACCTCATATAAATAAAATCATGCAGTATTGGTCTTTCTTAAATATTACTTCCACAGTGACTCAGTAAATAAAAGTTCAGTTCTCGGCCAGGCATGGTGGCTCACGCCTGTAATCTCAGCACTTTGGGAGGCCAAGGTGGGCGGATCACTTGAGGTCGGGAGTTCAAGACTAGCCTGGCCAACATGGTGAAATCCCATCTCTACAAAAAATACCAAAAAAATTAGCCAGGTGTGGTGATGCACAACTGTAGTCCCAGCTACTTGGGAGGCTGAGGTATGAGAATCACTTGAACCCAGGAAGCAGCAGTTGCAGTGAACCAAGATCGTGCCACTGCACTCCAGCCTGTGTGACAGAGTGAGACCCTGTCTCAAAAAAAAAAAAAAAAAAAGTTCAGCTGTCACCTGTCTGCCCTTACAAATAGAATCTAAGAACATATGTATATCTTATTTTGCCACTTCTCATCAGCATTCATTCTCTGTTTCTGTCTGGCTTTTCTACCTCCTATGGTGAACCTTACTTCCCGCGACTGGGAATTCGTTCTAGCCTCCATTTCCATGGGGACATTGCTCTCTTGCCTGGAACGCCCTCTGTTTCGTCCCCAAAGTCATAAACAACCTTACTCTGCTGCCATATAAGCATACTTGAAGTTTGGTGTTTACTTCTAGGTGTGATGGATTGAAGGCACAAATTATTTGACATTCTTCCCATGAAGAGGTGATGTTGGTGTCCCCTACCCTTGCATATGGGCAGGCTCTGGAATGTTCTGAGATAGAGCAGGAAGGATACTGGACCAATTTCCAGTCCTGGGCCTCATGTGACATGCAGTTTCTGCCTTCTTTCTCCTGGAGCTCTCATTCTTGACGTGCCAAGCCACCCCATAAAAAGTCTGACTACCCTGAGGTGGTCCTGTTCTCTTTTATTAAAGAAAGGACTGTCATGATTCCTGTCTCTTATTTATGTTTTCGTTTGAGATGTTCCCTGTGCTTCCTAAAAGAAGAGGTGTAATTAATATCTAGTGTAGCCTTGTAAGTCCCTGAAATATGCAGAATGGATAAATAAAAGAGAGATGAGCCAAAGTCTCTCCATGGAGAATTCAAAATCTGTGCCTCCCATTTGATTTATTTTTCAAAAATCTAATTCAATTTTTTAGGGGTCTACAAAATTTTCTGTGTAAATGTCTAATAATAAGATTAAAATATAAAATGGAGATATGATGTTTTCTAAGCTTTATTTAGACAGTGAGCAAATCTATTAAACACGCATGGATAGGCCAGTCCAGCTGATGTACAAGGTTTCCATCTCTCAGTTCACAGAGAGCTTATTCTCTGTGCTCTCTGGGGGTAAGTGAGGTAACAAGGAGAACTTTCTGGGCTTATGAGATAGCAAAGAAAAGCAAAAATCTGGAAATGGCATGAGATATTTATAATCTGTTAAGTTAATCTTTTTGGCTACAACATAGGATATGTGTAAAGAAAAATTCAAACTAAAATTATAAGGATGAAATAGGACTAAAGAGTCTTGAATGATAGGGTGAAGAGTTGAAATATTCCTCCATAGGCAGAGCAGTTTTTGACACAGCCACGCAGTCAGTTTAGAAAGATTGGATGTGGTGTTGGCAGTGGTTTGCTCTTTAGTTTCTCTGTGTTGGGGTCTTGCCTTTGTTTGCCATCACTGACGTCGGGTTTGCCTTCTCTTCCATGGCCAAACTAGGAACTGGGTAAGGTGAGGGGTCACTTTCTCCACTTTCGTATCTTCGTGGTCACATGATTTAGGTTCAGGTAATTCCTTATCATATAATTCCGAACTTTTGAGTCTGAGTGCTAAAGCCTCCAGTCGACCCTTGAACAACGTGGGTTTGAACTGCGTGGGTTCACTTACGTGAGAATTTTTTTTCAGTAAACGTAGTACCAAGTATGTAAAAGTTACATCTCCCCTGCTTCCCTGTCTACCTCTTCCACCTCTTTCACCCCTGCTATCCGAAGACAGCAAGACCAACTGCTCCTCTTCCTCTTCCTCCTCGGCCTACTCAACAGGAATACTTCAAGGATGAAAACGTTTATGATGATCCATTTCCTTTTATTTATTTATTTATTTTTTTCCTGAGACAGAGTCTCTCTTTGTCACCCAGGCTGGAGAGCAATGGCGTGATCTCCGCTCACTGCAGCCTCCACCTCCCAGGTTCAAGTAATTCTCCTGCCTCAGCCTCTTGAGTAGCTGGGATTACAGGCGCCCGCCACCACGCCTGGCTAATTTTTTGTATTTTTAGTAGAGATGAGGTTTCACCATGTTGGCCAGGGTGGCCTTGAACTCCTGACCTCAGGTGATCCACCTGCCTCGGCTTCCCAAAGTGCTGGGATTACAGGTGTGAGCTACCACGCCTGGCCCATTTCAATTTAATCAATAGAAAATGTCTGTACTTTTTCTTATGATTTCCTTAGTAACATTTTTTTCTCTATCTTAACTTACTGTAAGAATACAGTATATAGTACATATAACAAACAAAATATATGATAGTCAATGGTTTATGATATCAATAAGGCTTCTGGTTAACAATAAACAATAGTTAAGTTTTGGGGGACTCAAAAGTTATATGTAGATTTAATTTAAAAATTAAAATTTATATGTGCAGGGGTTACCACCCCTAACTCCCACATTATTTAAGGATCAACTGTATTTCTGAAAAGAAGTATTCTTAATTTTCAATTATTATGTATTATAATATTATAATAATTTTATAGAAATGGAGTCTTGCTATGTTGTCCAGGCTGGTCTCAAACTCTGGGCCTCTAGCAATCCTCCTGCCTCAGCCCACCAAAGTGTTGGGATTACAGGCATGAGCCACCGTATCTAGCCGCATTTAGTATTTTAAATTATAGATTACATATCTATTAAACTTATTTGGGTACATAAAAATCCTATAATACTTATGGTACTATCAGTATTACACAAATGAAGAAACTAGCTAAAAGGTTTCAGTCAATCTTCCATAGTCATCTACATGATGAAGTGCAGAAGTGTGAATAAAGTTCAGGTTTTTGGACTCCTGCCGTTGTGCCTTTCCTATTCACTCTTAAAGGTACTATCATCCTGGAGTAAGAGTAATACATTTTTTTCAAATAATAAGGAAATATTTTGCTGTCCGCTTTAAACAGGTTATTAAATATACTAAATTTTTCTCTGGTTATTTTGTATTTTTTCTTCAATATCGTACACTTAGCAGTTAAGACAGTGACCCCTCACTATAAGAATTCCATCCCTAGGGACTTCAAACAAACCATGTATTGAAATTGAGTGCTTGTTTTTCCTTTAAAAATTATATTTGTTTTAAATTATCTGTGATGAAGAGGCTTCAATCATGACTGAATGAGTAGAGGTCGCTTGGTGTAAATGCCTCTAGTTCTTTTTTTTTGAGACAGATTCTCGCTCTGTCACCCAGGCTGGAGTGCACTGGTGCGATCTCAGTTGACTGCAACCTCTGCCTCCTGGGTTCAAGCGATTCTCCTACCTCAGCCTCCCGAGTAGCTGGGATTACAGGCACATGCCACCACGCCAGGCTAATTTTTGTATTTTTAGTAGAGACTGGGTTTCACCGTGTTGGTCAGGCTGGTCTCGAACTCCTCACCTCGTGATCCGCCTGCCTCGGCCTCCCAAAGTGCTGGAATCACAGGTGTGAGCCACCGTGCCCGGCCGCCTCGAGTTCTTAAGCAAGTGATACACAGATATTTAAAAAATGGGGTATATGATTGCTGTGGTAGTGGACATATTCTATAAGCTTACCTATTGGCTTTATTTTAAAGTGCACAGCTATAGTGCTGTCACTGAATTGCACATACATTTTTGATGGGATAATTTGAATCTTGGGATAAAGTGAGTTATGATGAATGTCATGCTTTTCTCTTGCTTAGAGGGTTGGATCACTTTTATTTTCTGTATTTCCCGAGTGTCATCCTTAAAATAGAATTCATCATTTTCTCCACCAATTTTCCCTACCCCCCCCCAACGTTATTCCAAGAGGAAAAGATGACAAAATGTAATCATTTGTCTTCTCAGAGTCTGAGGGTGTTAAAGAGCTCTGAGTGCTAAAACAGATGGAAATATGCTAAAAGCACATGGCCCTTACACTTTATTCTTTAAAAAGCTCCAAAACTTAGTCTTAGTAATGGAATAGGCTTTGATTTCCTTGTGAAAGGCATATATAAATCTCTGCTTCTCCATATTCTGACTCACTGCTGTTGTCCCAGGGTTCAAAACATCCATTTTGGGTCAGTCATTGAGAAATGCTCAATAGACTCTCACTGGCACTTCTGAAAAATGCCATTTTTTAAATTGATAATAGAAATAAGATATATCAAGCTATAAGATGATTACTAAGGTTTATCAGAAGCTTCTGACTTTTGAAAAAATAAAGAGATGTCCTCATCTGCCTTTACTCTTGGAATATGTTTCTACCATGATAATGGTAAATATATGTTTTCTATGAGTAATGACTCAGTATGTACTTATTTTAAAGTATAATTTTTCTTCCTTGGAAAATTAAATTTGCTGAAGTTAATGTTTGGCATTATGTTTTTGGCAAAATGAAGGTGATGGTTGCCAATCCTATATGAATGAAATTTGCTATTTTAGGAGGAATTTTGTTAACTTCTAGAAACAGCAGTCAGGTCTTTAAATTCTATGCTTTAGATGGTGCACTCAAGTATTTAGAGCAATACCATTTTACTGTTTAGCATTTGACATATTGAAATTTAAAACAGTGAAAATTAGATATTAGTCCTATGATTTTCTCTTCAAATTTAATGTCATAATATGCTTTAAATGATTCATTTGTAATGACTTTATATCTTTTTATGTACTAAAACCATTGCAAGCATTCAGCGTGACCCTGAACTCCAGCATCGGCTATGTGGCTCCGTAAGTCCACTCTCCTAGCCAAATTGGGAAAGATATGTCTAGAAGTTCAAATAAAACAGGAGACAAAGCTACAAAAGGTCAATAAATCCATTAGCAGATCATTATTAATAAATAATACCAACAGACTAATATGTTTCTACAAAAGGAAAAATTATGCTGAATTTTATAGACACCAAAATTTATAAGGGAAGACCAAAAGTCATTAATTCATATAAAAGGCAAGTGAAGAAGAATATAAATTATACTAGATGTCAAAATGCCCGAGTTCTAGTCTATAATTCATGTCTATCCAACAAGGAAGTCTAGATTATTTATTCAACCTGGGTCTCGGATCTACTCCCCTGAAATTAGTTTATTTTATAGGGTTATTGTAGAGGGTCAGATGATACAATCTCTGTTACAGTGCTTCGCACTTTCCTGTCTCCACCCAGAATTGATCATACCTGTGTGTCTCTGTCCCCTCCTCCCATACGTTGTATGTGAAATTTATTAAACCCATTCAATTTTAAATGTTTCTCTGTGCTGGTTGGACTGTGAGCTCCCAAAGGTCTGTCTCTGAATCATCTTGGTATCCTCAGTACCTGGCACGTAGAAGGTTTTTTAACAAATGCACGTTTGAGGAACAAACTTTATTTTTACAATCATTACTACCACATGAAAATCTTCAAGCTGGTAGTTAGTTGTGAGGGTTATGTTTTAGACACCAGCCTTGAGCACTTTTTTAAAAAATTTTTTTATTTTTATTTTTTAATGAAGATGGAGTCTCTCTCTGCTGCCCAGGCTGGAATGCAATGGCACAGTCTCGGCTCACTGCAACCTCTGCCTCCCGAGTTCAAGCAATTCTCCTGCCTCAGCCTCCGGAGTAGCTGGGATTACAGGCACCCACCATCACGCCCAGCTAATTTTTGTACTTTTAGTAGAGAGGTGGTTTCACCATGTTGGCCAGGGTGGTCCCAAGTTCCTGACCTCAGGTGATTCGCCCGCCTTGGCCTCTCAAAGTGCTGGGATTACAGGCATGAGCCACCGCACTCTGACAGTCTTGAGCACTTTGTCAGATTCCTTGGACAGCCTCCTTTTCAAAACCACCATGCATTTCCCTGACTTACTGCCTAGCCCCTTAATAAACTGGCTGGAGTCTCAGGTGAAGGCTTAAGTTTGTGTCACGTTCACATCCTACCCACTGAGCCTTGTCTGTGCCATTCGCCCTGTAGTGAATGTGACCTTATTTGGAAGTAGGGGTTTTGTAGATGGAATTAAAGATGTTGAGATGAGATCATCCTGGATTTAGGATGGGACCTTAAATCCAAAGACAGTGTTATTATAAAAGAAAGGAGAGGAAGATTTGAGACCCAGAGGAGAACACAGAGGAGAAGGTGATGTGAAGATGGAAGCCTATAGTGATGCTGCTGGGAGCCAAGGAACACTAAGTGTTGCTGGCAGCCACCAAAAGCTCAGAGAATGTAGAACCAACTCTCCCTGAGAACTCCAGAAGAAACCACTACTGCCCACTCTTTAATTTTGGACCTCTGGCCACCAGTGCTGGGAAAGGATACATTTCTGTTGTTTTAAGCCACCCAGTTTGTGGTAATTTGCTATGGCGGCCCTAGTAGAAAAATTCACACCCCCCCACTCTTTTACAGAAAATGTTACCGTGTGGGCCTTGGATCTGGGTTGTGGAGTGACCATCAAAGGGCCCAGGGAAGCAACCCAGAATTGTGGAGGTGTTTACACACTGTGGTGTGAACCTTAACCAACTGGAAACAGGAGGGAACCAGTTAAACAATTTCCCCTGCCTTCTTCCTCGGACTGTTCCATAGTATGATTTCCTCTTGCAGTCTTTCTGGGAAAGCCTCAGTGCCTACTGGCCACATCTGTCTAGCCAACTGCATTGTTTCTTCCCAGGTCATTGTGGAGTGGAAGCTAGTACATCACATCACATTACATGGCATTGTTTTGTGTTTTTATTTTGCCTCATTTTCTTTTTTCCTCACTGTCACCACCCTCAAATTGCACCTTCCCAATAAAGTGTCAGTATTTTTTTTTAAATCCTTGCTTCAGGCTCTGGTTTACAGATGACTTGGCTAAAAAAGTGAATGGATTCAGTTCAAGAATTATAAAGAGGCTTTAATTTTTTCATTACATTCACTTCCTGCAAAATTTCTGGTGAAATAAAATAGTTTCCAGTGGAAAAGGGGCTGAGTTTCCAGCCTAGTATCAAATAGATCATTTATAGAAACAAGATTTCCTGTTGCATATACAAAAACTGTGTATCTTTCTAATCTCTTAAATAGTTCTAAGAAATGTTCATAAATTCTCTGTGTTAATTGAGATAATGAATCACTAATTTTCTTTTGAAGAATTTCAAAATAAGTGTTTATGATAGTAAATTTTAGTTAAACATTTCACTGTTGCTGGCCTTTTTCTTTTTGTATCAAAAAGTGGTGCCTGGAACTTAACTGAGCTAGAGGAGAGAGCTGAGCTGCCAGGTGTTGAGCAGCAAATCAAAACTACAAGCTGCAATTGACAGAGTAAAGACGTTAATTACATTATACATTATATGTTACTAGTAGAAGCAAGAAGTTAAAACCTGAGAAACGCTGACTCCCCCTGGTCCATTGTTCCCCATGGAATGACGCACAGTTGACAGGTAGATCCATACATACTTGGGGTTGTCTTATGGCTCAGAGAGCCTGAACGAAAGACTGGCACTTTTATGGACCCTGAGGTCAGAGGCAGGATCAGGAAGAGGGGCTAGGAGTGGGAAAATACTGGGTAGTGAGTGAGAGTAGGGGAAAGCATCTTCAAGATTTCCCCCTTCTCTCCTCTCCCACTGAGGAGGTCTCAGCAGAGCCACCTGAAGAGGATCTCTGCCCAAGGCCTCAGAGGAAGAGACCTAGGAATGAAGGCTCTGGGCCTAGGAATACACCCATTTTGAGAGCACGGCTGTGCAGTGAGGTCTGAGGTCTTGACTTCAGTTCCCATCAGAGACAGTGTGTCATGGGCTGTGCACCAAACCTGGAGCCAGGAAGCAGCTTCCCTGTGCGGCCTGCCCAGCAAAGCCTGTGTGATTGACTGCGGGGAGGCCTGAGAAATCACACACAGGTTATTATCCACGTGCTGGACTCGCCAATTTTTTTTTTGTTGTTGTTATTTTGTTTTGTTTTGTTGCTTGCCTGTATGAAGGAGACTCCAATACTCTGAGAGTAACCAAATATTCAGCAGAAAACTTCCTGGCATTCCATGCATTTATTATGTGATGTCCAGTATTACTTCATAGGCAGATAGGACACAAGTGATTGCAAGCTTATTAGCCTCAAAGAACAGGGAAGATAGCTTGTTACATATCTCTATTATTCTTCTAATAGCTTCATTTCTGGCCCATCCCGTCTTGTAGATAGCCCTGATTGTCCCTTTCTTGTCCTCAAGTATAGGTACTGAGAAGTTTTCTATCATGTATCTTAATTTAGTTATATAATGATTTCATTTTTCTTATAGATTTGGTGTTTGCGGTGACCTAATATTGTACATTCGGTGATTCCTCTTTCCTTCCTGTAGCCACACTCTAGAGGAAGCCCTCATTGCTGGAAGCTCCTGAAAATAATTAATAGAGTGATGTGCCATGTTCATTGTTAGCAAAAAGCAATGTCATCAAAAGAGCAATTCTGTTCCGATGTGGCAAACTTAACTGCCAAGACTAGACAAAATTTTTTAAAGAGCAGGTAACAACTTGCTTTTACAGATAACAACTTTGCAGGGACATGAATGGAGCTAGAAGCCATTGTCCTCAGCAAACTAATGCAGGAACAGAAAACCAAACACCACATGTTCTCACTTATAAGTGGGAGCTGAACAATGAGAACACATAGACACAGGGAGGGGGACAACACCCACTAGGGCCTGTTGGGGGTGGGATGGAGGAGGGGGAGAGCAGTAAGAAAAATAGCTAATGCATGCTGGACTTAGTACCTAGGTGATGGGCTGATAGGTGCAGCACACCACCATGGCACATGTTTATCTTTGTAACAGACCTGCATATCCTGCACGTGTACCCCAGAACTTAAAATTAAAATTAAGAAAACTATAGTTATTAAGGCATGATGGTATTGGTACTGAGTTATATACAGTAAACCAATGAAATAACAAAGAAAGATCAGTAATAGTCTCAGATAAAAAAGAAATCTTGATGTGTGACAAATTAGCATTTAAAAAGAACAGTTTTTTTAAATGGTGCTGGAAAAAAACTGGCTATGTATAAACACAATGAATAAAATTAGTCCATTTCCTCAAACCAACTTAACTATGAATCCCAAGTCTATTAAATACTAACTTTTAAAATATGAAAGTAATATAGGAGAAAATCTTTATGAACTCAGGGAAAGGAAGAAATACACCATAAGAAGAAAATACTGATCCATTTAACTTAATAAACGTAAGCATATTTGAAAAAAAAAAAAAAAAAAGGACTTGCGAAAGTAAAAAGCAAGTCAGAGACTGGGGAAATTTATCTGTAACACATATAACCAAACTAGATTGGCATTTAGAATAGATTGAAGCTTCCCAGAGAAAGACATCCCAAGAGAAAATTGGAAAGAAAAGAATAGGCATTTCATATAAGTGATAGTTCATTCAAATGGCTACAAGAATGTAATGCAGCAGAGCCCTCAGGAAATGTTGGTGAGTAAGTAATTTTGTGTAACTAATTTGGAGGGTAGTTTAGCAATGTACAGTAAAGCAGTTTTACTCCTTGATATTGATATTTTAATGGCAACATTATAATAATTTTATAATAATGAAAGCCAGAAACAACTCAAATGACACTGGAAAAGAAGATAGGTAAACTGTGGCGCCTTATTACTGTGGAATCCTGTTCGCTGTGACACCAACTTGGATAAATGTATCTCCCAAAAGCATTTAGTAAAAATAAGTAAATAAAGTAAATAAAGAGGAATTTTCAGAGACACAATACGTTATTATACCAGTTCTGCACTGTTAAGGCATATGTAAGTAATGCGTATTATTTCTGTATACACAGAGTTGTAGTAAATTTCAAAAAAAAAAATGCCTGAGAAAGGTAAATATAAAATTTAGGATAGTGTTTACTCTGAGGAGAGCAACTGAGAAAGAAATGGTATTAGGGAAGGTTTCAGTGGAATCTGTATTGTTTTATTTGAAAATAACTGAAACAAGAAAAAGTGCTAATATTTGAAGGGCTGAGTGTTGAGCATGGATTTTTAAATATTATATACATAGCATTATCATATATAATGACATTTCAGAGTATAAAAGAAAAAATAAAATTAAAATCAACCATATAAAGATATTCAATCTTGTTTAAAAAGAGTAACTAAAGCACTGAGATGTTACTTTTACTTATAAAATTAGAAAAGCATTTAAAAAAATAACTAGCAAACTTACGTTGAAATATATTTCTCATAAACTTCATTGTAACTGCAAATTGGTAAAAATATTCTGGAAATTAATTTGGTAGTTCTTTTGCCTCATAACTTGTAAGTTAGTATTGTTTTTACTTCCATAACTCTGTTACAAGTAAATTATTAGAAACACACTTTAAGGAGTATCAGCATGTACTATAGTAACACATACATCATGTATATCTATATATTTTGATTATTGGTGTAGATGCGGGTATATGTGTGTATATGTTTGTGTGTTTGCTAACTTGTTTTTCTCACTCTTGTCACCATGCCACCAGCATGTGGAATAGTGACTGGTGTCTAGTTATGCTCAATACATACTAATTGTAGAATGATGTATTATGGAAATATAATGAGACAAATAATCAAAAAATTAAGACAGCTTTGAGAAGTAATGTAATTATTGACAAAGGAAATAAATAACTTGATTCAAACTAATTTAGTGTAGTGAAACGAAACAATGCCAACTATCAGCTTATAAGTGGATTTTGTTGCAGAAGGTGGGCTACTGCATACAAAGAACCTATTTAAAACAAACAAACTAACTACCCTTCCAAAAATTATCTGAAATGATTTTTACTGAAGAGTAAATATTCACTTTTTTTAAAATCATGAACTGATATGTTGTTAATAGTAGACTGTGTTTACATCAAACAAAAATAAATGAGACAGCTAAATAAGTTTGCAATACTTAGTACTATTCTAAATTTTGGCCACAAGCAGAACTAGTTTGATATTTCCTACTCACAAGAATAAGATTAAATTATGTTTTTATGTCTAGTTGTTTGGGGGGACCAAAGTACCAGACATATATATACAATTAAGAGGAAGGTCTGTGAAGAACAAAAAACAATTAGGAAAATGGAATAATTTAATTCCTAAGTAAAATTAAGTTGACAAAATTGTGTATTGTCTGGTTAAGGGATAATGAAGAACAAACCATCCATGTTGTATGTGTGAAGGATAGTTTCAAGTAAGAATGTGACTTGAAGAAAATAAGAGCTATATTAGTAAAACAATAATGTTCAAAATTAATATTTATATTGACATCAACAGTATTATATTATGTTCAGAATGTACCCTGATATGGTGTGATGAAGAGGACATTTTACCTATAGGATTGTCATCCTCAAAATCCATAACCCCAGTCTAATAATCAGAAAAACTTCAGACAAATTCCAATCATGAGTAGTGAGAGAGGAGTCTAAGAAATTACCTGACTAATACTGCTCAAAACTTTTGAGGTCATCAAAAATAACCAAGAGGACCTAGGGATATATGACAAGTAAATCTAATGTAGTATCCTGGATGGGATCTTAGAATAGAAAAAGGCATGAATTTAAAACTAAAGAAATCTGAATAAACATTGGGCTTTAGTTAATAACAATGTACCAACATTAACTCATTGATTACAACAAATACTAATGTAACATGCTAATAATAGGGAAAACTGGTAGAGGGATATGGAAACCTGCATTATCTTCTCAATTTTTCAGTAAATCTAAAACTTCTAAAAATAATATTAAAATTATTTATGTTATTAGTAACAAGTTCTGAGTGTTTGGATTGTCCGTATGTTTTTCAACATATAGTGGAAATTTATTAGCTTCAATATTGAAAATAATGCCATGGAGTGGATGGTGTGGATTTGTAATTCTGTGGTTGAGAATTGTGAGAAAATCATTCATTTGGTCTCCCCCAATCATGAATAGTCTTCCTTTAAAAATGACCTTCTAGTATAAGGTATTATACTGAAAGCAGAGAGAAAAATGAACATAATTTCTTTGGATTCTTAAAGCACAGTTACTTCTTTCTAGTTAGTTTTTTTTTTGTATCCTAATAAACTATCAGTGGAAATTATTTGACTCTTATGAATGGTTATACTGCCACATGGGCCTGCATCATGAGTGGATAAAATTGCTGGTCTGGCCGGGCACGGTGGCTCATGCCTGTAATCCCAGCACTTTGGGAGGCCGAGGCAGGCAGATCACCTGAGTTCAGGAGTTCGAAACCAGTCTTGCCAACGTGGCGAAACCCCGTCTCTACTAAAGATACAAAAATTAGCCGGGCATGTTGGTGGGCGCCTGTAATCCCAGCTACTTGGGGGGCTGAGGCAGGAGAATTGCTTGAACCAGGAGTTGGAGGTTGCAGTGAGCCAAGATTGTGCCATTACACTCCAACCTGGGTGACAGAGCAAGACTCCATCCAAAAAAAAAAAAAAAAAATTGCTGGTTTCTCACACTGTAAAACCTTCTTAGTAACAAACTGAATGACTTGATTATGTTCACATCGTTGTCAAATTGCAGAAATCTGTGCAAAAATCCCCTGAGAAAGAGCTCTCCCTTTTGAAATGTGTCAGTGAAGATTTAGATATAGATGTGGATATAATTGTGAATAAAAATTGCTACATATAGGTTATCTGCAATGTTGAGAAAAAGGATGACATATCATTTCAACCCAATTAAAATAGCCTCTATCTAAAAGTTACTTTTTAAAAGCATGTTGATGACATTTTCAAATAATATGCTCAATGTTTTCTTCAACCTCCACGTATATTTTCCAGAGAAGTACCTTTAAACTGAAATAAATAATCCCATTGTTAGGTGACAAAATAATAAAAATACACTTCAGAGTAATCCAAAAGTCAGGAAACACAGGGAAAATAAAATAATTTTCAAGGGATTAGAGGACACACAAGGTCACTACAAGGACAATATTGGAAGTCAAATGGAAGTTAGACCCACAAAATGTCCAGGGAAGGGTATTCTGGGCTTTTGGATCAGCATGTGCAAAATTGCTGAGCTAAAGTAGCATAATGATTTCATGAAAGTCCACCAAATTCATTATTACTTAAAATATGATTAAAGCGAACAGAATAATAGTGAATTAAATTAGTGCTTCTTAGGTTAAATATGTGACTCAACCACTTTTTAGCTGTATGAAGTGAGCAAGATATTTGATCTTTCTTTGCCTGAGTTTTCAATTCTAAAATTGAGGCAAGGCTAGCAATAATTCTGTAGCATCTTGAGGACTACAAAGTTAGTATAAAGAGAGCATGTAGAGAAATGCCTAGGGAACTTCCAATTTAGGTTAAGATTTAGAAAATTATAGAAGAAGAAGGTTTTTCTAACAACGAGAAAAGTCTTCTTGGTTTTAAAATCCATTCAAGACCTGGCAAAGCAAAGACACTTACATGAACTGAAATCTAGAAATGTATTAAGAGTCCCTGGGCTGCTTTTGATCTCAGAGAAGCAGCAAGAGAAATGAATCTGACATTGAAGGGGTAAGAAGAAATGAGCCAACTTTTAATCAACTTTAAATATCTACATGACAGCTCATGTACTGGCTTAGAATCCTGAAGATCCCCACCTTCACAATCAGTCTGCATCCACCCATTGACTTTTTCCAGTGGGCCTTCACTGATGGTACAGAACCTTTTCCAGTATGAGGCCGAGGGCATGGGTGAAAATCTGAGACATATCTGAGGAAGCTGAGCAAAATTCCTTTAGAAAACTTTAGGTCTTCACTGAGTGCAAAGCAGAAGAGTCCAAAGGCTGCAGAGGAGCAGGAGAGCTGAGTACAACCCCTTGGAAGTACTCTGGAAGTTACCAAATACAAGTAGTAACTGCTTAAGGCTTTAAAGTAACTGCTTAAAACTGAGAGACATTCCCTTGAGGTCAGCTGCACAGCGAGGCTGATTGAAGCTGGGGTAGTACTGAGAAGGTGCACCTAGGGTGTGATAATCCAGGAGTAGGGCTGGAGAGAACTTGAATTTTCCAGTGACTTTAAGAGCTCATAGCAAGTTTATAAAGCAATTAAAGATCTCCCACAATGTGGAAACCAGTTGAGTGGGCTTCAGCCAAAAGAAATATCTGGAGTCTTGCTGGTGCTAAGTTCCCAAGTTCTGATGAAAGGAAAGTCCTGATTTCACCCTCAGTGGTTAACTGAATCAGGGATGTAAAAAGCCCAAATAGAGCTCAAATTTAGGTAAGATGAACTCATCCCCACACTGGCAGCCTGACAAAAGAAGGAGTGTACTCATTTCTGGGAGAATATGTTGTTACTTTCAGTCCCAACTCTTCTTTGAACACAGTGTTCAGCATAAAATAGACACTAACAAAATGTTGAAGCAGCAATGACTTTGATCATCTAAAAAGGAAACAGTCAATAGACACAAACCTGGATATAGTACAGATGCCAGTATTATTAGATTAAAAAAAATTTAAATAACTATAATAAATATTCCAAGAAATGTAGCAGAAAAGGTAGACAATGTGAATCAACACATGTGTGACATTTCAGCAGAGCAGCAGAAGCTATAAGAAGAATCCAGTGTAAATATTAGACTCAAAAATATGATGTAAGATATGGAAAATTCAGTCCATAAATTTAATAGTGGAATGGATGGATGAATGAGAAGAATGAATGAGTGAATTTTAAGATAGGTGAATGGAAATTGTTTAAGCTAAAATGCAAGTAGGAAATAGAGTATAAAAATGGAATTGAATGCCTGGGAACTGGGTGACAGTATCAAACAGTCTCAATTAGTGTAATTAGAATTTCCTTAGGAGAGACAGAATGAGGAAGAAGAATATTTGAATAACTGATGGCCTATGGTTTTTCACAAATTAAAAAGAGACAGCAGGCCAGGCATGCTGGCTCATGAATGTAATCCCAACACTTTGGGAGGCTGAGGCGGGTAGATCACTTGAGCCTAGGCATTTGAGTTCAGCCTGACGAACATGGGGAAACCCTGTCTCTATGAAAAAATACAAAAATTAGCCAGGTGTGTTGGCTGGCACCTGTTATCTCAGCTACTTGGGAGGCTTTTGCAGGAGAATTGTTTGAACCCAGGAGGTGGAAGTTGTAGGGAGCCAAGATTGTGCCTCTGCTCTGCAGCCTGGGTGACAGAGTGAAACTCCATTTCAAAAAACCACACACACACACACACACACACACACACACACACACACAGAAAAACAGAGAGACAGCAATCTACAGATCTAATAACTTCAGGAAACCCTAAGCAGTCTAAATACAAAGAAAACCACACTGTATGCGTTATAGTCGAAATGCTATAACCAAAGATGAGAAGAAAATCTTAAAAGCAGCCAGAAAATGAAAGGCACACATCATTAGTAGGCGAACAAAGATAAGAAGGACGGCTAACTTTACATCAGACCCAATGGAAGCCAAAAGACATTGGAACCACATTTTCAAAGTGCTGAGAAATAATACATGGGAAAAGTATTTTTCTCAACAGTGGCGATAAGTTCTGAGAAATGTGTTCTTAGGCGATTTTATTATTAGGTGAACAGCATAGAGTGCACTTACACAAGCCAAGATGGTATAGCCCAGTATAAACCTAGGCTATGTGTTATAGCCTATTGCTCCTAGGCTACAAACCTGTGCAGCATGTTACTGTGCTGAATGCTGTAAGCAATTGTAACACAATGGTAAGTATCTGTGTATCTCAACATAGAAAAGTCAAAGTAAAAAATATAGTAGAAAATATAAAAAATAGCACATGTCTAAAGTACACTAACAGTGAATCAAGCTTGCAGGACTGCAAGTTGCTCTAGGTGAGTCAGTGAGTGGGTGGTGAATGAATGTGAAGGCTTAGGACATTACTGTACACTACTGTAGACATTATAAACATTGTCTACATAGGCTACACTAAATTTATTTTAAAAATAAAGTAATTGTGCTATGATGTTACAAAGGCTATGGTGTCACTAGACAATAAGATATTTTCAGCTCCATTATAATCTTATGGGACCATCATCATATATGCAATCTGTAGTTGACTGAATCATAATTATGCATTCCAAGATGGTATGTTAACCTAGAATTCTACATCTAGAAAAAATGAGTATTAAATAAGATATTAAGGCAGACAAAAGCTAAAATAATTTGTCAACAGCCAACTTGCACTAAGATGAAATACTGAAGAAAGTGATTTATGCTGAAAGAAAATTACACCAGATGAAAAGCTCCTACATGGAGAAAAAAAATGACCAACAATAAGGGTAATTATGTAGGTAAAAACAAAGAACTTTTTTTGTGAAATACACATATGTGTTTATTTATCTATCTTTTAAGCCCTGTGCAAAGATTGTATATAATGGTGTACTGTGAGATTCATAGCACATGAACAGTATCTTATGTAATACTTAATGAAGTCCTGGAAAAATAAGAGATACCATTTTTGGAGCACCTCCTGTGTGGCAGGTAATGCGAAATGTAACTTTATTCATTTTAACTCAGGTAATCCTACGATAGCCCAATTTTTTTTTTTTTTTTTTTTTTTTTTTTGTTGAGACGGAGTCTAGCTCTGTCACCCAGGCTGGAGTGCAGTGGCACGATCTTGGCTCACTGCAAGCTCTGCCTCCCAGGTTCATGCCGTTCTCCTGCTTCAGCCTCCTGAGTAGCGGGGACTACAGGTGCCCACCAGCACACCTGGCTAATTTTTTGTACTTTTTTAGTAGAGACAGAGTTTTACCGTGTTAGCCAGGATGGTCTCGATCTCCTGACCTTGTGATCTGCCCGCCTCGGCCTCCCAAAGTGCTGGGATTACAGGCGTGAGCCACTGCGCCTGGCCAATAGCCTAAATATTATAACAAACCAAGGCTCAGATGAGTGAAGTAACTTGGCAATATTCTACAGCCACTAACTTGCAGAGTGAGGATTTTAGCTCTTGCTCCCTTGTATACTAAAATGCATAAATAAGATTTTAACATTATTTACATGAACAGAAGACAGAAAATAACGATTTTATGTATAGGAAACTTTAACAAATTACAGTGTTTCCATTTAATGGAATTTGGCAGCTGTTAAATAGAATGGGGTACATACATGTAAGTGTGATGACCTGGAACAATATTCATGACATATAATTTTGAATGGAAAAAATCAGGTTGAGTATAGGAACCTATATGTTTCCACATGCATATGTACATATATGTATGCTTTTATGCACAGACATAAACAGATATACACACATAAAGAATATCTCTTAACTATGTATAGACTACTAATAGATTTTAAATTTCGGAAGACGTATTTTAGAATTTGTGAGTTAGGGATTTTTTACTGCACTTTATTTATTTTTTTTACTTCACTTTCCGTTAGCACTGTTTGCACTTTTCCACATACTAGGGCTTTTTTCAATGTAAAAATATCCAAGTTTTTAAATAAAAAATACTTTTGCTGATTTATTGCACAAAATTTGAGGATTTACAATATGAACTTATTGGGATAGAGGTCATATTTTATGTTTTTCTTTTCTTTGAACTTGCACAATTCCCTGATAGGTAGGCACTAATATTTGTTGAACTTTCAATTAAAAGGACGTTGGTCATGTTGAAGAGCAAAATTTCATTGAACTATTGGTAAAAGAGACAAACACAGAAGTAAGTAGGATGGCTTAGAATAACATGTAGTGTGGGAGATGATATTTGAACAGCTAATTACTGGATGAGTGCTATTCTAGGGGCTGGGATACAAGGTATATCACTATAGGCAGCAAGAATGGTACCCACAGAGATGGAGAGGGAGAAAAGTACAGCTATGTGTTGGAGTAATAGAATCTTTTGGGGGAAATAATGAACTGGTAAAGTAAGTGGTGCTGTACTGTGGAGTGGAGGGAAGTGATTGATAACTTTTGAACAAGGTGAACTTCAAACATAACATAGCTTCATAGCTTTAGGAAGATTAATCCAGCAAGAAGTTCTTCTTCTTTTTTATTTATATTTTTTTGGAAGCATGTTTCGAAGACAATTCTTTTTTCTATTACAAAGGCTTATTTTTTTCATTTTCTCTTCTTTTATATTCTCCCAGACACCTCACCTATGTTCTTGCTCAACTTCTTAGTTTTTTCCTTTCTCTCCTCTGCTGGCACTTCTGCCCCTGCCTCGGGTATGACAGTAACAGCCCAGAGACACCCACATGCTTTTATGAGCCACTCTGCTTACTCTTAGAACAAGCATTTTCACACACTTCTGTTGAATATATCATGTCTCTTTTCTGCATGACTTTTTTTTGAAACTTCTGTCCACGTGGACATGCGACTGTGATGGGAAACACTGTGGCTCTTTAGGGGAGAAAAGCACCCACAAGACTGGAAACCAAAAGAGTTTTCAAGCTTCTACTCTGCAAAGTCACAGGACTGTGTTTGGAAAGCCAAATATTCTGGTTGAGCTATAGTTTCTTTCATCAGCAAAAACAAGATAACCTTAACGCCTAGAATACCTCTCACATCACTACTCTTCTCCTCACTGTCAGTTCACGGGCCTAACCCCTAGTCACTCTTAGTATCTCAGATTATTAATATACCACTGCCTCCAGGGAGCCTTCTCTGACTTCCCATACCTAGGTTACTCCTACCTAGCTCTCAACCGTAGAATTCTCTCATTACACTGAATTGCAATGGCTGGTTTGTCTATGTTCTTTCTTAGACTGTAAATTTCATATGGTTTTGTATCATATCTTTCATATTTATCCATTATGGCCGGTACCTAGCTTAGTGGCTAGAAATTAGTAGACTGTCAGTAAATATTTGTCAAATGATTGAATGAATAATATGATAAGAATTTATGGTATTTCATCTTTGTTTATATGAAACTAAATGCCTCGGAAATTTTGATATGCCTTTAATATTTTACTGTATTCTTATACTTCTAAAGCATTTTGCTCTCCCTCCTCCTGCACTAGAAAGCCACCGTGCTATTCGCTTCTGATTTCACAATCGAGTTTGTAAAAGACACTATTTGAATCAAATGGATCTCTTTAGAGTTGCTTTTTGGTTTGGGTTCATCACCATCTGAAATAAATATGAAGGGGAAAAGGGATAATTTGAGGACACTAGTTTAAAATAGCCTAATTAACAGTCTTGATAAAGTGTTTGAAAAAATTACTTCACATTCTTTCTACATTTTCTACATTCTAATTATTCTAACCTTCATTGTACAGGAAGATATTAAAGATTTACTAAGATGAGGTTCAGAAGTGTTGTCCCAGTAGAAGACTGTTAAGAAGCTCTCATTGTCATAAGCTCTCATTGGAATTCCAAACAGCTCTTCTGTAGCTTCTGTAAAATTAGCTAATCATGCTGTTCTTGGATTCCCAGTTTTGGTTCTCCATTTCCTGTGTACGGTCCTGGAAGAGGCTCTTCACTATTGGACTTCCCTATAAGGTTGAGCTCAAGGAGCCTAAGATGGTTGTCCCTCCAAAGAGAGGGTTTGCAGGAGCAACTAGAAGTAGTTTGCCCTTCTTCTGCAAGGCTTTTTCAACTGTGAAATCATTTTGACAAGATGCTTTGTCATATGCTTGACATCTTTTTTTCTTTTTTAATGAGGAAGTGACTGAGAGATAATTTAATCTGAAATGCTGCCACCTACGTAGCTAGAGATTAATTGGATACTGTCTGAAAAATTATTTGAGCACCTCAGAGACAGAGTCTAAGTAAACAGAAAGTGGTGTTAATAAAGTAGAGACAAATTATGACTCTTCCCCATCTACTTAACCAGGTTGTTGGCAAACCGCTCCTGTTTCTGAGTATCCTTAAATAGGCTAAAATGACAATTTGATATTGCAGCAAGTGTGGATTTTACACAACTAGGATATTGTTGTCTCCTTCTAGCACAGTTATGAATTTGGCTACCTTTCTCTTGGAAGCTTATTTTGTACAGGAAGGAAAACAGTAATTTAACCACAATGGACTTTGTTGAAAAACATAATGCTATTAACGAAGTAAGTGTGTAGTCTTTTCAGCTTTGAAATTTTTCCTCAAGATCTCCAAAAGATCTTTATTTTAAAATGTTTCTGGATGTATTCGTTCTTTCTTGTGTTTCTATAATTGAATACCTGAGACTGAGTAATTTATAAAGAAAAGAGGTTTAATCGTTCACGGTTCTGCAGGCTGTACAAGCATGGCACCACCATCTGCTCAGCTTCTGGTGAGGGCCTGAGAAAGCTCACAGTCATGATGGAAGGTGAAGCGAGAGCAGGCATACCACTTGGTGACAGCAGGAGCAAGAGAGAGAGGAGGTGCCATACTCTTTTAAACAACCAGGTATTCCATGAACTAACTGAATGAGAATTTACTCATCACCAAGGGGACGGTGATAAGCCATTCATGAGGGTACTGCCCTCAGGATAAGGTACCTCCCACCAGGCCCCACCTCCAACATTGGAAATTACATTGGAACATGAGATTTGGAGGGAAAAATATCCAAACCACATCACCAGGATATAACTCCAACAGTGTAGAACACTGTTATTAGAATGGAAGAAACAGCTAGGTGTGGTGGTGTGTGACTGTTGTCCCAGCTACTCAGGAGGTTAAGGTGGGAGGATCACTTGAGCCCTGGAGTTTGAGGTTGCAGTGAGGTATGATGGCACCACTGCACTCCAGTCTGGGCAACAGAGCAAATCTTGTCCCTAAAAATTATTTTTGAAAAATAAAGTGAAACATGGGAACAGGACAGTGGTGGGCATTGTGTAGGGGCACTCACATCCCACACTGACATATGTCAGAGCCAGTGGCACAGAGTACACACCGTGTACATCTTCTATCCTTGGGCAGCTGTGCTCTGAGGAAGCAAGGGGAAAGTTGAAAGGGATCTTATAAAAAAGGCCTCTATAACATAAAACCTTCTCATATAACAGGAAATATTATAAGTAAACTCCAGTTCATACATTTTTATGAGCCTATACTTTCACCAGTCTAAATTTGTTGGATGGAGGAAGACAGGATATCCCTATATTTATGGAGATCTTGAAGTTAAGTTGATTTTTGCTGAACATTTCTCTTATTTATTATGAACTTGATGAGGGAACAGAAACTATTTCTCTACTAAGGAAAAATGTAAATTCCAGCTCAATGATAAATTGCAAATGACACTTGGCTTCAGTGTTGGGAAGGCATGAGGGGACGGTGGGGGCTGTGGCACACTGGGAATCCAGCCATCCCAAAGGGGAGACCCTACTCAGCTCATGATTGTCAGCATCACACATGAACAGGGTATAATACTGGCAAAATCTTATTATTATTATTATTGAGACAGGGTCTTTCTCTGTTACCCAGGTTGGAGTACAGTGGTGCAATCATGACTCACTGCAGCCTCAGCTTTCTGGGCTCAAGCAATCCTCCCAAGTAGCTGGGGCTACAGGCACATGCCACCACCTGGCTAATTTTTTAAATGTTTGTAGAGATGAGGGTCTCACTATATTGCCCAGGCTAGTCTTGAACTCCGGGCCTTAAGCGTTCCTCCTTGGCCTTTCAAAGTGGTGGGATTACAGGCATGAGCCACCACACCTGGCTCCCTATTATTTTAAGAGAAAGAAGGCAAAAGGTTTTCACTTGAAATCTCCTGATCTTAAAGATTGCCTCCCCAAAACATGTTATGTCACCTGTGAGATTTCCTCACTTAGATTTTTGCCTTGAACCCTCTCTAGCTCTGTATTTGCCACTGCGTGATGTAAATTTTCAGTGAGCCCTTTTGCTCTCTCCTAGAACTTGACCTCCACAATGCTAAACTGAGTACCCTGTCAACACTAGAAGATTGCTCTTCCACCTAATGTTTTCTGTCAGTCGGTGATCTGCCATACTCCTTGCAATGTTATTTTCAAATTCTTTAGTATTGGTAGGTACGGTCTGTATTGTTTCTTTATAATTGTCTCAAAATTAGTTTTCCCTTTCTGTCTCCACCAAGCACTTACCTAGGGGTACTCTCATTAACTTACTCCTGAACTAATGCAATAGCTCTGCTGTTTTTACTCATTGCAGGAGAGAAATTTGGTGTGCTCACTGTAGGCTAGACACCTTACAAAGTGCTTGGGAAACAAAACTGTAAGCCACGTCCCCACACACAGGTTCCCATCCTGCTGTTTCTCTTTCCAAATGCTTGAATATCAGATTTGTCATTCTCAGTTTCTATATTGATCATGCCCTCTAGCAATATCTATAAATCTCTCTTGCTATCAGATGCAACCTAAACTGTTTAGCCTAGTGTTCAAGGATTTACTCTGGCTGTGGTCTGTGCTTTGCTTGGTCTTCATTTATCATAGTGCCTTCTGGGGACAAGGGGATCATTCTTTCTTAGCTCTCAACTTGTACCGCCACAAACCCCATCCAGTGTCAGTCCCTTTTACTTTCAGCCATCATCCCCTGATGCCTGCCCATACACACAAGAACAATAGAAAATGTTGAGTTCTTTTCTGTCTGTGGGAACTTGATCATGACACAATTTAGAACCAGAATTGGCAAACTTTATTTGAAGAACCAAATAGTAAATATTTTAGGTTCTGCAGGCCATATGACCTCTCTTGCAACTACTCACCTCTGTGGTTGTAATGTGAAAGTAGCCAAACCAGGTAAATGAAAGAGTGTGATTGTGTTCTAATAAAACTTTATTTACAAAACAGGTGGCTAATAAGCTGTAGTTTACCAACCCCTGATTTAGAATATCTTCCCCTACCTCTGTGTTCCTGAACTTTCTGCTCTCTGATGCTTCCTCATCACCATCACCAGAAACTTTGTTTCTGATTACCTGTGGCACTGCCCTCTACTGCTGCGTACGGTAATGGGAAGGTTACCTTCTTAAAGGTGACAATTTCCTGGATGGGGCCAAATGTTATTCATCTTTATATCCTCGCATTCAGTAATATTGATTAAATGAAAATATGAAGAACCATTTGCTCTATGTCACTGAATTTCCTAGATTTTGACATTTATTGCAATTCCAATTTCTAGATAGAACTTATTGAGAGAAGCAATAAAAGCTGATGCAGAACATATTAAATTCTTGTTATATTTATGCTATTCTTTCTTCCACTTGCATATGAAACTCGATATAGAAAAGTATAGCCAAAATAGGTAGAATTTTGTGAAGTCAGTAATAGATGGAGGAGAAGTCCCTTGTTTAAGACATTAAAGTGAGACAAGACAAAGCTATTTTTAGGATTTTTGTGCATGATAGGTACATTGAAACCCCTAATAAAAATATTATTCGTTTTTCAAATTCAGTATAATATTATCATTATTTTCAGATAATATAGTCTTCAGTAAACCAGAAAACCCCTTGAAAATAAATGAAAAACCGAGTAGAATTTAGTGCATGGTCTACTTAAAAAAATTGTTGTTCAGAATTTAGTAGTTTTAAGGTACACAGGAAATTAACACTTAGATTTTGGGAGAAAAGCCTCCATGTACAATAGCAACAAAAAGTATACAATACCTAGGAGAAGTTCAGTCAGAAACATGTAAAAAAACCAAACACTTCAGACTTCACTGTGAGATTAAAAAAATAGCTGAATCTTTGGCAATACAATGGCAAGTTTTTAGATAGGGAGATTTGGTATTGTGAAAATGTCAATTCTTTATGACTACATTGCAATTCCAATCAAGATAACAATAAAATGTTGAAGTGCTTACAAGGATAATAAGAAAATGAATCCAAGATAGTATCATTTTTTTCAATCATATCAAATGTATAAATCTTCATGTCTAAGGGAAAAATTGTATTGCTTTTTATAGAAAAAAAGCTGTGCTACTACAAATACAAAGTCAAATGACAAAAATATGCTTGGGTAATATTTGCAAAAAAAAAAAACAAAACACAAAGACAAAAAAAAGAAAAATATCCTTAAAAGAAAGATAAATACAAACTACCCAATAGAAAATTAGGCAATAAACAGTTCACATTTAAAGGAATAGTCAGTAATCATGTAAAACTCAATCACATGACTCAATAAAGACGTGAATATTAAAATAAGACACACTGATTTGCAAAGATAAACAAGTTTGTTAATGCCCAGTATACTAAGGGTGTTGGTAAATGGGTCCTCTCATAGTCTCTTTGTGAGAGTGTAAATTGGTGCAAACTCATGGGTAGGCATTTGGCTAATTGCCTACCAACATACTAACATGCAAGATGCCACACAAAGAATCTACCAACATACATACATGCTTAAAAGTATTTATGAAATGTACATAACCGTTAACTCCTCCTAAAAGTCAAACTCCCCTCCTGGAATGATTTCCTACTTATGTATTAGCAGAGGTACAGAAAGTATTATTACAGTGGACACAACCAGAATGTTCATTAATAGAGGACCAACTGAATTATAGTAAATCTCTATTGTGGAATTAAAGCAATTAAAAAGGAATTAGATGGGCCAGGCGCGGGTGGCACAGGCCTGTAATCCCAGCACTTTGGGAAGCCGAGGTGGGCAGATCATCAGGTCAGGAAATCGAGACCATCCTGGCTAACAAAGTGAAACTCCATCTCTACTAAAAATGCAAAAAATTAGCTGTGTGTGGTGGCAGGCGCCTGTAGTCCCAGCTACTTGAGAGGCTGAGGCAGGAGAATGGTGTGAACCTGGAAAGCAGAGCTTGCAGTGAGCCGAGATCCCGCCACTGCACTCCAGCCTGGATGACAGAGCGAGACTCCTTCTCAAAAAAAAAAAAAAAAAAAAAAAAAAAAAAAAAAAAAGGGAATTAGATGGTTTTGTAGATGTTGATACAGGTATAAGACATCTTCACAATGTAAAGGGAAGAAAGTACAGCATATACTGTACTTAAGTTACAATTTCCCCTGTATAAATTGTTAGGCATTTTGTATGCATAAAATTGCATAAGAATTGTTGAGAAACTAATGTCAGTAGTTACTTCTAGAAAATAGGTTAGGAGAACGTTTGGGAAGGTTTGAAATTTATATCTGTCCATATATTTTCAGCTATATTTATATGCTACTTTTGTAATAAAAATCTGGTTACAAATAAGGATTTTCAAACTTCTCCTCGATCTTCTGCAGCTAGAGAAAGGCAGGATAAAAATTGCAAGTCTTTCTTTTTGTGTAAGAAAAAATTTGGGGGCCAGGCGTGGTGGCTCACGCCTGTAATCCCAGCAGTTTGGGAGGCCAAGGCAGGCAGATCATGAGGTTAGGAGTTCGAAACCAGCCTGACCAACATGGTGAAACCCTGTCGCTACTAAAAATATAAAAATTAGCCGGGCGTGGGGACACATGCCTGTAATCCCAGCTACTCAGGAGGCTGAGGCAGGAGAATCGCTTGAACCTGGGAGGCAGAGGTTACAAGTGAGCTGAGATCGCGCCATTGCACTCCAGCCTGGGCAACAGAGCGAGACTCTGTCTCAAAAAAAAAAAAATTGGGGGTCAGTTAGGAACAACTTCGTTTCTCATTCTTGGTATCACTTACAGAGCTGTAATGAATGTCATCTAACCCTTTACACATTTTCAACAAGGTTTCAATACCTATCTTGTGGAAGGCATGAGTTAGGTAGAGGAACAGGATAGCTTTTGCCTTCAGTGAGCTGATCATCTATTTATATCAGTCATAGATGATTAGTTAGTGATACTTTATGTTTTTTGCTATTTTGGGGGGCTTTAAGAATATCTTGGGGACATATATGGCCATTGTTACCAAAAATAACTTGCAATTAGGCCATTTACTTTATTGTTCCATTTTCTTAAATTCGAGGAACTAGTGTACAATGTATTCATGTTCTGATACATGTATCCAGAACTTATGAAAATGTTTTGTTGTTAAGTGGTGGTGGATTGTTCTGGCTTTGTTTCTGGATAGGCATATGGACAGTTCTCATGGGAAGAAGGAGGAAAAAATAATCTGTTCTCACCTCTTCCCATGCAGTAGAGGGTAGTGCTAAAGAGAGCAGATGTTAACAATAGACTACCTGGATTCAGGTCCTGGCTCTTCCCCTACTCACTGTGGGAACTTCAGCAAGTTATCTAGTCTCTCTGCAAATATGAAAATAATTGTATCGTAGGGTAGTTTGGAGGCTTAAGGACATAAACAAATGTTGCATACTATTTAGTACGAGTACATAGTAAGTGCTCAATAATGTTAGCTAAAAGTAGTATTTCTTTTGCTGCTTCATTGATTCCTGATTGGTTTTGACTTCAAAGTTGGCAGTTCTGGTTTTCATTTGTGTGACTTCAGGAGTAAATGAATGTCTTATGTACATGTGGCAGTTGTGTATATGTTAAGCACTGCTGAAGAGTGTTCTTTGGCTGAAAGATCTAGTCATGTTACAATGTTTCTAAATTTATTTATGAAATAAGTGAAAGGAGCAAACAAAGGTCAAGTCTCAGTGGAAGAGACCTTGAGATCCTCCTTCTCTGTAATGGTCTGTTCACTGGTCTGTCTCTGTTAGAAGTAGAGGCTTCTCAGAAATAAGGACTGTTACACTTGCAGTATCAAGCACAAGACCTAATGATTAGTAAATATCTCTTGAATTGAATACGTTCTGTTTCTTTTATTAGTATTATTATTATTACTATTTATCTTTTGAGATGGGGTCTTACTCTGTCTCCCAGTCAGTAGCGCAATCATAGCTCATTGCAGTCTGGAACTACTGGCCTCAAGCAATCCTTTGGCCTCAGCTACCTGGGTAGCTGGGACCCCAGGCATGTACCACCAAGCTCAGTTAATTTTGTATTTATTATTTATTTATTTTATATTTATTTGAGACAGGGTCTTACTCTGTCACCTAGGCTGGAGTGCAGTGGTGCCATCACAGCTCACTGCAGCCTCATTCTTCCGGGGCTGACTTCCACTTCAGCCTCCCAGGTAGCTGGGACTACAGATGTGCACCACCATTCTGGGCTAATTATTATATTTTTTGTTGACACGGGGTTGTGCCATGTTGCCCAGGCTGGTCTCAAACTCCTGGGCTCAAGTGATTTTTCCCCTTGGCCTCCCAAGGTGCTGGGATTACAGGCATGAGCTGTGGCTCCTGACCCATTATTATTGTTTTTAATTCACACATCATAATTATACATATTAGTGGGATACAGTGTGATATTTCCATACATTTATACAATGTGTAATGCCCACATCCATCCGTCCACATTAGCATTTCCATCACATCAGACATTATCATGTCTTTGTGTTGAGAACATTCCAGATCTGCTCTTCTAGCTATGTAAAAATATACAATAAATTGTTTTATTATAGTCATCCTATAGTGCTGTAGAACACTAGAACTTATTCTTCCTATCTAGCTGCACTTTTATATCTATTAACCAACCTCTGGCTATCTTCCCACCCACTACCCCTCCCAGCCTTCAGTAACCACTGTTCTATTCTATAGGTCTAAGAGATTAACTTTATTTGCTCCCACATATGAATGACAGCATGTGGTGTTTATGTCTCTGTGCTTGGCTTATTTTACTTAACATAATCTTCTCCAAGCTCCATGTTGCCATGAATGACAGAATTTTATTCCTTTTCATGGCTAGATAGTATTCCATTATATATACCACATTTTCTGTAGCCCTTCACGCACTGTTAGACAATTACGTGGATTCTATGTCTTGGCTATTGTGAATAGTGCCACAATAAGCATAGGAGGGCAGATGTCTCTCGGACATACTGACTTCATTTCCTCTGGATATGTGGCCCATAGTGGGATTGCTGGATCATATGGTAGTTCTATTTTTAGTTTTTTTGAGAAAACTCCATGCTGTTTTTTGCAGTGGCTGTAATAATTTACATTCCAATCAACAGTGCTGTTTCTATTGCTTTTTAAACTCAATCTTACTCTTTGCCTTCTAAACCCTTCTGGGTTGTTTTGAAAGCCACGTGCAGGGGAGCTCAGAGTAGTTGTTGTGAAGCAAGTACAACATCAAATATTAGTTAACACTCACACACTCCTGTGGGCCAGACACTAATCCCAGTGTATGATGTGTATTAATTTATTTAATTCACAAGTTGGCTGTATGACGTAAAATGTGTAATGATCCATTTTGGCCATGGGGAAACTAACTCTCAAGGATATCAAGATGTCAAATAACTTGTGGAAGCACACACACATAGCTAGTAAGTACAGAACAAGAACTTGAGCCCTGGCTAAGTATATGTTTCTAGCCATCCAGCAATATTGCTCTTTACTTCCAAAAAGTCAGCAGATACCTACCTACCTACCTACCTAGAGAGCTCTGTCTTTCCTCATTAACTTCTTGCTCTTCTCCTTTGAAAACTTTTCCCACATTCTCTGTTATGACCCCTTTCTTCCCATAGTAGGTAGATTTTGTAAGATATTAAACTCAACTTCTGGTACCTTTGAAGTATCTTTATTATACCTATGCTTCATTGCTCGCAGAGAGCCTTCATGGCAAAGGAAACATTTTAGCTTCCATGCAAAAGTGTGCTTTATCTAAATAGGACTTACCCACTCATCTAAACACTGGTCCTCCTTCCTCCTAGTGGATATGGCGGGAAACAGAGGAAAATGTTTTTTCCCTATTCCTGATTTCCTGGGAGACACTTTTATCCCAACATTCCTGGCCTTACTGTACTCTCTCACTCTTCCCACACACTCAGCTGAGGACGAACTCAGCTGATAAGAAATGTGAGCAGAATAACCTTGCATGCTCTGCTGAGGGACCGTCTTTTTTCTCTGTCTGCAGAAAGAAGGACTTTGCTGCTTTGGGCCAGGATCTGAACTTAGGTGTAAACCATTGCCCTGGCAGAGGGAACCTACCCAGTCCATTGCTGCCTGCTACAAGGTAAGTGAAATCGATCTCCGTCTACCCATTCTCCAGGCCAATTTTCATCAGTACTCAGAGTGATCAAGGCTTTCATAGGCTGATTCTTTTGTCTTACTCTTCATTTGTCCAAAATTCATCTGAGAAGACTAACACTTCAATATTATACTGCTTAAGAAATGTAATAATCCTGACAGCTTAGCATTGCAAGTTCCTCCATTTACAGGTGAAGTAACTGAGATTCAAAAACATCAATAAACTTGCACAGCTTAAGACTGTAGCTGAACTGAAGTTAGGCCACAGATTTAGTATTTTTCCAGTAAGGGAAAGATTTTTGCAAGGAAAAAACTAATATTAAAAGCAAAATGCTCTCAGGAATTGTTTCTTTTAATATGATGAAATACTAGAAATATACAATTGGTGAAGTTATTCATTGCTGATATATTAGTACCTTTCATGTAGATTCACACAGGTTGACCAATAACTGTTCTCAGGCAGGTCTCCAGGATCTATCTGGAGGATCCTAGGTTCCTATTAGAAGAACTGTGTGTTTTGTTGCTAAACTAGACACAATAGACCAGGCTTCACTTGGCAGATTGCCACTTTTTATCAAAACTCTATCAGATGAATTTTTCTAAAAAATTATACATCCTTTACTAAAAATATTTTTGCTAAATTAATTGTGGGAAGATGTTCTTATCGCATATTTATGAGATGAACATTTATTTATATTGTTTCTTGAAAACTTTTTAAAAATAATAGTATTAAAATATATTGCATAGGCTGCCAAGCACACAATAGGGATATCAAAAGCAGTAAGGCTGATAAAAGCAAGAGTTTTGTGTTTAATTAGTAGGCTCTGACTGAGCAGAAAATTAAAATCCCCTACTTGGAACTACCTATAAGGAAGAATGAGAATTCAGACCCTAGGCATTACTGATGCTCAGTTGAAGGCAGCTTGTCAAAGCACTGCTTTTTATTAATGCCCAATAGTTCTTAAATACAAACTATATACAAATGGTAAAACTATACTTCTGCCCAGTTGAACCTGATGCAGGAAAGGCAGGTCTCAAAATTGGGGCTTAGCCCAGGAGGGTTCTTGGCTTTACACAGGAAAGAATTCACCAGGAAAGAATTCAAGGGTGAGCCAGTAATATGAGACAGCAATCTTTTATTGAACATTACTACTCCTTGCAGAACAGGGCTAACTCACAGGCAATGTGCCCAGATTTGGTAATGTATGGGCTCTTGGCAACTGTATTTATACTTACTTATATTCATTTTTAATTACATGTAAATTCAAAGGCAGGTTAATTCAAATTGAGGGATGCATTATTTAGAACTTTCTAGGAAAGAAGTGGCAACTTCTGGGTCATGGCTGTGGAATGGGGTGATAACTTCCTGGTTGTTGCTATGGTATTTGTAAACTGCCATGATGCTAGTGGGAATGTTTTATGCTAAAGAGCAATGAGAGCAGCTAGGGATGGCTTTCATTGCCGTCTGCTGGTTCCTGCCAATTTGATTTCTTCACTTCATTGCCTAGGGACCAAATCCTGTTTTGGTCAGCAGGGTTGTGACCAAAAAACAAGTCCTACCAATCTCCTACCTCAAATCCGTACTATGTGCACTTCAGTAGACAACTTAATATTGAATATATGTGTGAAGATACGTACATAAAAAAACACCTAAACCTAAACAACTTAGCAAAAATGTGTATATAGTTCAGACTTTTTTTTTACACATGGCTTGCTTTTATTTTTTGTTTATTTTTTATGTTCCAGAATACATGTGCAAGATGTGCAGGTCTATTGCATAGTTGAATATATGCCCTGGTGGTTTGCTGCACCTATCAACCCATCATCTAGGTATTAAGCCCAGCATGCATTAGTTCTTTTCCCTAATGCTCTCCCCAACCCAGCCTTCCCTGATAGGCCCCAGTGTGTGATGTTCCCCTCCCTGTGTCCATGTATTCTCATTGTTCAGCTCCCACTTACAAGTGAGAACGTGTATGTTTGGTTTTCTGTTCCTGCATTAGTTTGCTGAGGATAATGGCTTCCAGCTTCATCCATGTCCCTGAAAAGGACATGACCTCATTCCTTTTTATGGCTGCATAGTATTCCATGGTGTATATACTTCATCTCTTTCTCCCTCTGGAGAATCATTCTTCCATAAGAAAAAAATGATATATTTGACCTGGTTCCTTTGGGTCTTCCTTTCCAGTCATCCTTGTATTGAAGAATTCTTTAACATTTTTCAGCACTCTGTTGTACATTTCTGACTGTACTAAGACAGTCCCTTCCTCATATCCCAGCTTTTATTCCAATGGATAATGAAATTCTTGAACTCTATGCTTACAACTTTTCAAAATTCACATATTGAGTACAGGGTTCAAGTGTTTGGTTGCTTCGAATATTGTAATTGTTTCCATCAGTTGTGAAACCCACAAAAAGGAGGGTCACACCAATATCCTTAGAATTGAGGTCATTGAAATCCATGTAGGCATTTGGGTCTTCCCCACATTAAAGCACCAACTGTTAGGCAAAAAGCCAATGTCAAAAGAGCAGGCTGGCATGTGGACCTCTTGCTTTATCTATCTTCCCTCTAATTAGCTTTCCTTTTAGCCTACAGTCCTTCTCTCCACTCCTTCAAGTGCAAATTCAGCTACCTCTTCTTTGAGCCACTCTCTCAGTTTAAGCCCTAAAATGCTTCTGTTTACTTCTTCAGACCTATACTGCAGTGGGATTTATGCTCTCTGAAGTTACAGTGGAATGGAGATTGGGTGTGGCTTAAGCACAGGTAGTTCACATTTGAGAGCCAGCCTTCCTCTCTTTGAACAGGGTCCTGCTCCTCACCAGCTGTGAGATCTCACCCTAGTTACTTAAAACAGTCAGCTTGGCTTTCCCCTTATAGAATGGGGATGGTAATAACAATTGCTATTGTGAGGAAGAAATCATCAAATCCCTATAAAGTTTCCAGCGTTTAGTAAGCACTCAATATATATTAGTTATTATTACTGTTATTGTTCATTCCTGCACACCCCATCTTGATTTTCTTTCTTCTATTCAAAGGCAAGCGTACTCTTTTCTAGAATTCATTTCATATTTCCTTCTCCCTACTTTTAGCAGCCTATAAAGTAACTAGAATTACAGGGGCAAAGGGGTAGAAAGCATACCTACTATCATTGGGAGGCCAGAGGGACCAGGAATTCTGTAGCAACTTCTCTGTTCCTGGTATCTAAAGCTTAAGTCTGTGCTATGTTGAAACCTGAGGACAGTCAGTCTCTTTCATTGGTTTATCTAAAATAATACTTTTACGACTCCTTATTGGCTGACGTCTCTCTATTTATTTCTTTTTTTCTTGAACATATAGATGCAGAAATGATTGAGGGGGCAAACCAGATGAACATGGCATAATGGTATCATCTGAGTATAGTCTGGCAGGAACTGGCCACTGGATGGATATTATGAACCCCATTTTACATGCAAAAAATCAAGATTTGGAGAGGCTAAACCAATCGCCTCTGTAAAATTCCACTCCTATA
Source organism: Homo sapiens (assembly GCF_000001405.40). Taxonomy (NCBI): domain Eukaryota; kingdom Metazoa; phylum Chordata; class Mammalia; order Primates; family Hominidae; genus Homo; species Homo sapiens. Next base: position 239,496,328 of record NC_000001.11, read on the forward strand.
CTTGCCAGTTTTATGAGTTTATTTAATCTCTGTAATCCCAAGTTTCCTCATTTGTTAAATATATATAATATCTATCTTGCAGATTATTTTAAAGACTGAAGAAGATAATTGTACAATAACTGATATAATATCTATCATCTACCTATTTATACAGGAAATATCTAGTGTATGCTAGTAATTCTAGTGTGTGTGTGTGTGTGTGTGTGTGTGTGTGTGTATAATTATATATATTATACGGTTGTATCTCCAATGACAACCTTTGTCTCATTCATCTCCAGATTATACCAGGAACTAATCTTAGGCAATTTCTTGTACTGATATCTTGTACTTCTCCAACATGGATGATATATTTTGAACATAACTTTATACAAATTTAATGTATATACCATATGTATACAGTCTGAAGGTTTTTAAAAAGAATTTTGTTGTTTTTAACTTTCTGCAGTTAGGGTCCTCTTTGGTTGCATGTATGATGTTCTCTGCTGAGGAGAGCTGCTACCAAATGCATTTCCCTACCTCAACAATTGCCTTTGGAAATCTCACTTTCCCAGCCAGTCCTCCTATGTGTATATGCATACACAGACGCTAAACTAGACCTCTTATGCTTATAGTAAGAAGTATTTTAGGTTGGATGCATGGTAAATTAACTAGACAGACCCAGAAAATACAGTTGCATTGATATTCCCAAGTAGGATCTATTGAAAATAGTAACCAGAACTATGTTTCTGGAAAGTAAATTTAGAGAGACATGTTATTTTAAGGAATGCCAAAGAGGGACAGCATTTTTGGAAGATCGTTGCTGGTGGATGGTAAGGATTAGCATGGCCTTTCTTTTTATCATTTGGGTTAGGCACCCCACATCCTGATTTTGAAATTACTCTTCATTTTATTCAGTGCTCTTCAGAGACTGTAAAAAGATTGATTAATATTCATTCAAGCTTAATTGGCTTTGGAAAGAAAAAGTAAGTCAATTAAGTACATTAGTAAGCAGTTTTTCATGAAGAGTAATAATGGCAGAGGGTGACGGGGCAGCACAGCACCAGAGATTGGGGGTCACTGAGCCCCATACCACACTGAGGATGTTGGTTTCATGTCTCTCTTTGTGCTTCTTTCATGTTCTCACTCTTTTGCTGGCTCATAAGCAATCTGTTTCCCCAGTACGTTACTTGGATGAAGTAGAAGTAGATCATACTATCTGTTCCAAGGTCTTCCTTTCCTTATCTGCAAGTTACTCTCTTGAAAGAATAACGAAAGGTTGAGAGATCTGTACTCACTTTTTATGCTTTCGTTTCTTTCCTGCCTCCTCTCTATTTCACAGAGGTGATAAAAGAGAGGTAAAATGAAGTATAAAGCCAGGGAAGACTAACAGTGGTGAAACCTGGTAAGGAATGAGGCCATTGCCAATAATTTGAGAAGATCAGAAGGAGAAACTGAGTATGGGTGATGTGAAAATTATTTAAAACAATTAAGACAGTACAGGCAGCAACAAATCGGAGTGGACATGGCTAGGGGGCAGGGATCTGCCATGTCACTCATTAGATCTCCAGGGGGAAAGTTATACAGTGTCTCAGCATATGAACCAGGGCACCTGGGCAGCAAGAGAACAATTATGAAACCTGAGCAAATCAACAGCTATTTATTAACCAATATAAACCCTTAAAATAATAATAACAGTAACTTACTAACAATAATTTACCAGTTGCTATGGCTAGACCCATGTATGACAACTGAATATCAGCCCTAGAGCTGCAAATGGAGCCACACTGAGGTCCTAGTAGCGGGAACTGACAGTCAAAGACAGATATTGAGCATTACCAATTTTAGGAATTATATATTTGCTTTATTCAACTTTTTGTTTATCATATATAAGTACATATCAAGGCATTTTCCTGGTGGAACTAAGACAAAATCTTGCAAGTTGTTACTGTGAATAATAATTCAATTTGTAAAGATGTCTATGATTGAGAGGTTTTAAAATACCTACCATATTGAATATGAGTGTTACTCACATGCACTCTTGGGTTTTATGATCACTGTATTTATTTTTAAAGTAACCTAGTAATTGCAAAAATAACTTGCAAAAAATGGTTTATTTCATAAAAAGTAAATTTGATTTCAATAAAATTAAATTTCTGGATAATGAATCCTACATCTTTTCGTGTGTGTGTAATCTAAGCGTTCTCAAGGGCAGTTGGATCTACAGAAGACCACAACTTTGCTTTATTAATAAGCAAAATAGGGAAACATAAACCATTAAGTATAGACTTTCTGAGAGCTTAGCAGAAAACTCTCTCTCTTACTGATTAATAAATTGTTCATCAGTGCTGTAATGGACATTACCTTACTATCATGAACTGGAATGTAGGTGTCTGGCAAAGCCTGATATACTTTTGTGTGTAAATTAATTTTTAAGACTTTTGTTTAAAATGTATCATTTCTCCCTTATTCTTTTACGGAACAGTTAGCTAATAAAACTTTAATAAATGAGTACTAGATTCTGGGCATTTGCAAGTTACTATGCGGTTATACATCTGACCTACTTTGTTTGATCTTCACCTCCTTTATAGTATGCTATAACTGTTTTATTTAGCATGCTTCCTTTTTATTTAGCGTGCTTCCTTATATGTAGGTCCTCCTTTCCTAGTAAATTAAAGACTCTTGCAGTCAGGAACCTTAATTTTTATAATCTTGTTAGTGTTGAGCAATGTGGAAGATGCTTGAGAACTGTTTGAATTGAATTTCATTCAAGGCTGGTATCTTTCAGTTTTGAAAGGTAGAAGTGCGTATTGGTAAGTTACTAGAAATAAAGGGTGAATTTCTTCAACTTGATAGGTTACTTCTGACGATTTCATGATTTAGAAGGGATTTGGCTTCTGGATTTAGGAGATCATTCGGTGCTATTTCATGCCTTTAAGGAGGTACAGAGAAAGGAATGTTATTCAGCCTGGGAGAATATTTCCAACAGGAGGGTCAGAACTGGGCTTTCACAGGGGATAGTATTTGAAAATAGGTGTAAAAAGATATTTCAGGCAGAGGGAGGAGCTGTTTATGACCTTATTAATTCAGTAAGCACATATTGAACACTTACTGTATGTTAGGCAAAGAAAAGACTGTTGAGATAAGCAAGATTACAAGAAGTAGTTTTAAATAGCTTGGAGGTTGGAGTTAAACTTGGAAAGGTTGACTGGCACTTGATTGTTCAAGACTCAGTAAAAGATTATATTTTCTAAAGAGAGATTCAACAATGTTTCTCATCCCATGTGCTCTTCTTGAACTCGGTGCCACCAACACGACCATCAGGAGGTAGAAATCCGCAAAAGGATCTTCACTTAGGCACATTGTCATCAGGTTATCCAAAGTTAAGACGAAGGAAAGTATGTTAAGAGCTGTGAAACAGAAGCACCAGGTAACCTATAAAGGAAAATAAAGGAAAACCTATCAGATTAACAGCAGATTTATCAGCAGAAACCCTACAAGCTAGAAGGGATTGGGGCCCTATCTTCAGCCTCCTCAAACAAAACAATTATCAGCCAAGAATTTTCTATCCAGCAAAACTAATCATCATATAGGAAGGAAAGATACAGTCTTTTTCAGACAAACCAGTGCTGAGAGAATTTGTGACTGTCAAGCCACCACTACAAGAACTGCTAAAAGGAGCTCTAAATCTTGAAACAAATCCTGGAAACATATCAAAATGGAACCTCTTTAAAGCATAAATGGCTGTGGGTTTGTCATAGATAGCTTTTATTATTTTGAGATACATCCCATCAATACCTAATTTATTGAGAGTTTTTAGCATGAAGGGTTGTTGAATTTTGTCAAAGGCCTTTTCTGCAACACATATGTTTATTGCAGCACTATTCACAATAGCGAAGACTTGGAACCAACACAAATGTCCAAGAATGATAGATTGGATTAAGAAAATGTGGCACATATACACCATGGAATACTATGCAGACATAAAAAGGATGAGTTCATGTCCTTTGCAGGGACGTGGATGAAGTTGGAAACCATCATTCTCAGCAAACTACCGCAAGGACAAAAAACCAAACACCGCATGTTCTCACTCATAGGTGGGAATTGAACAATGAGAAGACTTGGACACAGGAAAGGGAACATCACATACCAGGGCCTGTTATGGGGTGGGGGGATGGGGGAGGGATAGCATTTGGAGATATACCTAATGTTAAATGATGAGTTAATGGGTGCAACACACCAACATGGCACATGTATACATATGTAACAAACCTGCATGTTGTGCACATGTACCCTAAAACTTAAAGTATAATTAAAAAAAAATAAAGTAATTAAATCCCGAAAAAAAAGCATAAATGACACAGAACTTATAAAACAAAAATACATGTTAAAAAGAAAAAAAAACACAAACAACAACAACAACAACAAAGTACACAGACAACAAAAAGCATGACGAATGCAACAGTACATCACATTTCAGTACTAACCTTGAATGTAAGTGGCCTAAATGCTTCACTTAAAAGATACAGAAACACAGAATGGACAAGAACTCACCAACCATCTGCTGCCTTTAGGAGATTCACCTAACACATAAGGACTAACAGAAACTTAAAGTAAAAGGGTGCAAAAGGCATTTCATGCAAATGGACACGAAAAGCGGGCAGGGGTAGCTATTCTTATTTCAGACAAAACAAATGTTAAAGTAACAGCAGTTAAAAGAGACAAAGAGGTACATTATATAATGGTAAAAGACCTTGTGCAACAGGCAAATATCACCATCCTAAACATATGTGCACCTAACACTGGAGCTCTCAAATTTATAAAACAATTACTAATAGACTTAAGAAATGAAATACACAGCAACACAGTAATAGTGGGGGACTTCAATACTCCACTGACAGCCCTAGACAGGTCATTAAGACAGAAAGTCAACAAAGAAACAATGGATTTAAACTATAGCTTGAACAAATGGACTTAACAGATACATACAGAACATTTTATCCAACGACTGCAGAATACACATTCTGTTCAACAGCACATGGAACTTTCCTAAAGATAGACCATATGATAGGCTATAAAACTAGCCTCAATAAATCTAAGAAAATTGAAATTATATCAAGCATTCTCTCAGACCACAGTGGAATAAAACTGGAAATCAACTCCAAAAGGAACTTTCAAAACAATGCAAATATATGGAAATTAACCTGCTTCTGAATGAGCATTGGGTCAAAACCAAAATCAAGATGGAAATTAAAAAATTCTTTCAAGTGGGCTGGGCGTGGTGGCTCATGCCTGTAATCTCAGCACTTTGGGAGGCTGAGGTGGGCAGATCACGAGGTCAGGAGACCAAGACCATTCTGGCTAACACAGTGAAACCCTGTCTCTACTAAAAAATACAAAAAAAATTAGCTGGGTGTGGTGGTGGGTGCCTGTAGTCCCAGCTAGTCAGGAGGCTGAGGCAGAATGGTGTGAACCCAGGAGGTGGAGCTTGCAGTGAGCTGAGATCGCGCTGCTGCACTCCAGCCTGGGCGACAGAGCAAGACTCTGTCTCAAAAAAAAAATTCTTTGAACTGAACGACAGTAATGACACAACCTATCAAAACCTCTGGGATACAGCAAAGGCGGTGCTAAGAGGAAAGTTCACAGCCCTCAATGCTTACTTCAGAAAGACTGACAGAGCATGAACTGACATTCTAAGGACACATCTCAGGTAACTATAGAAACAAGAACAAACCAAACCCAAACCCAGCAGAAGAAAGGAAACAACCAAGATCAGAGCAGAACTAAATGAAATTGAAACAAGCAAACAAGAAAAATACAAAAGATACGTGAAACAAAATGCTGATTCTTTGAAAAGATAAATAAAATTGATAGACAATTATCAAGATTAACCAAGAAAACAAGAGGGAAAATCAAAATAACTTTGTTAAGAAATGAAACAGGAAATATTACAACCGACACCACAGAAATACAAAGCATCAATCAAGGCTACTATGAACACCTTTACGCACATAAACCAGAAAACCTAGAGGAGATGGATAAATTCCTGGAAAAATACAGCCCTCCTAGCTTAATTCAGGAAGAATTAGATACTCTGAACAGACCAATAACAAGCAGTGAGATTGAAATGGTAATTTAAAAATTAGCAACAAAAAAAAAGTCCAGGACCAGATGGATTCACTGCAGAATTCTCCCACACATTCAAAGAAGAATTGGTACCAATCCTTTTGATACTATTCCACAAGGCAGAGAAAGAAGGAACCCTCGCTAATTCATTCTGTGAAGCCAGTATCACCCTAATACCAAAACCAAGAAAGGACATAACCAAAAAAGAAAACTACAGACCGATAACCTTGATGAATGTAGATGCTAAAATCCTTAACAAAATACTAGCTAACCAAATCCAATAGCATATCTAAAAGATAATCCACCATGATCAAGTGGGTTTAACATACACAAGTCAATAACTGTGATACACCACATAAACAGAATTAAAAACAAAAATCACATGATCATCTCAATAGTTGCAGAAAAAGCATTTGACAAAATCCAGCTTCCCTTTATGATTAAAACTCTCAGCAAAATCAGCATACAAGGGATATACCTCAATGTAATAAAAGCCATCTATGACAAACCCACAGCCAACATAATACTGAATGGGAAAAAGTTGAAAGCATTCCCTCTGAAAACTGGAACAAGACAGGGATGCCCACTCTCACCACTCCTCTTCAACATAGTACTGAAAGTCCTAGCCAGAGCAATCAGACACAAGAAAGAAATAAAGGGCATCCAAAATGGTAAAGAGGAAGTCAAACTGTCACTGTTTGTTGAAGATATGATCATTTACCTTGAAAACCCTAAAGACTCCTCCAGAAAGATCCTAGAACGGATAAAAGAACTTGGCAAAGTTTCTGAATACAAGATTAATGTACACAAATCAGTAGCTCTTCTATACATCAACAGCGACCAAGCAGAAAGTCAAATCAAGAACTCAACCCCTTTTACAAAAGCTGCAAAAAATAAAATAAAATACTTAGGAATATACCTAACCAAGGAGGTGAAAGACCTCTACAAGGAAAACTACAAAACACTGCTGAAAGAAATCATAGATGACACAAATGGAAACACATTCCATGCTTATGGATGGCTGGAATCAATATTGTGAAAGCAACCATACTGCCAAAAGCAGTCTACAAGTTCAATGCAATCCCCATCAAAATACCACCATCATTCTTCACAGAATTAGAAAAAAAAATTCTAAAAATAATATGAAACAAAACAAAACAAAAGGCCTGCATAGCCAAAGCAATACTAAGCAAAAAGAACAAATCTGGAGACATCACACTACCTGATTTCCAACTATACTATAAGGCCATAGTCAACAAAACAGCATCGTACTGGTATAAAAATAGGCACATAGACCAAAGGAACAGAATAGAGAACCCAGAAATGAACCCAAACACTTACAGCCAACTGATCTTTGACAAAGCAAACAAAAACTTAAATTGGGGGAAAGGACACCCTTTTCAACAAATGCTGCTGGGATAATTGGCTAGCCACATGTAGGAGAATGAAACTGGATCCTCATCTCTGGCCTTATAAAAAATCAACTCAAAATGGATTAAGTACTTAAATCTAATACCTGAAACTATAAAAGTTCTAGAAGATAACATTAGAAAAATCCTTCTAGACATTGGCTTAGGCAAGGATTTTATGGCCAAGAACCCAAAAGCAAATTCAATAAAAACAAAAAATATTTGGGACTTAAACTAAAGAGCTTTTGCACAGCAAAAGCTTTGTCAGCAGAGTAAACAGACAATCCACAGTGTGGGAGAAAATCTTTGTAATCTATACATCTGACAAAGGACTAATATCCAGAATCTACAACAAACTCAAACAAATCAGTAAGAGAAAAACAAAAAAACAAACAATCCCATAAAAAAGGGGGCTGAGGACATGCATAGGCAATTCTCAAAACAAGATATACAGATGACCAACAAACATGAAAAAATACTCAACATCACTAAGATCAAGGAACTGAAAATCAAAACCACAATATGATACCACCTTACTCCTGCAAGAATGGCCATAATCAAAAAATCAAAAAACAGTAGATGTTGGCATGGATGTGGTGAACAGGGAACACTTCTACACTGCTGGTGGGAATGTAAACTAGTACAACCACTATGGAAAATAGTGTGGAGATTCCTTAAAGAACTACAAGTAGAACTCTCATTTGATCCAGCAATCCCACTAGTGGGTAACTATCCAGAGAAAAAGAAGTCATAATATGAAAGAGATACTTGCACACATGTTTATAGCAGCACAATTTGCAACTGCAAAATTGTGGGACCAACCCAAATGCCCATCAATCAATGAGTGTATAAAGAAATTATGGTATATTTATATGTTGCAATACTACTCAGCCATAAAAAGGAATGAATTAATAGCATTTGTGGTGACCTGGATGAGATTGGAGACTATTATTCTAAGTGAAGTAACTCAGGAATGGAAAACCAAACATCATATATTCTCACTCATATGTAGGAGCTAAGCTATGAGGATGCAAAGGCATAAGAATGATACAATGGACTTTGGGGACTTGGGGGGAAGGGTGGGAAGGGGGCAAGGGATAAAAGACTACAAATATGGTGCAGTGTATACTGTTTGGGTGATGGGTACACCAAAATCTCAGAAATCACCACTAAAGAACTTACTCATGTAACCAAATACCACCTGTACCTCAATAACTTATGGAAAAAATAACAGTTTAATAAGAACTAAAAACTCTTTATCAGCTCTGTATTTTGAGAAAATTACTGATTTCTTTGCCTTTGTTTCTTCAGCTTTAAAATTAGGGCTCATATAAGTTCTTGCCTCTTAGAGCTGTGAGAACTGAGTGGAATTAAGGTGTAGAGGAATGCTTGAGGCATATTGTTCAGTAACTGTTTCCTGGGATGATGATGATGATGATGATGATGATGATGATGATGATGATGATGATTGATATGGTTTGGCTTTGTCCCCACCCAAATCTCATCTTGAATTCCCACATGTTGTGAGGGGGACCTGGCAGGAGGTAATTGAATCACTGGGGCAGGTCTTTCCCATGCTGTTCTTGTGATAGTGAGTAAGTCTCATCAGATCTGATGGTTACATAAAAACAGAAGTTTCCCTGCACAAGCTCTCTTCTCTTGTCTGCTGCCATGTGAGACATGCCTTTCACCTTCTGCCATGATTGTGATTCTTTCCCCACCAACTTGGAACTGTAAGTCCAATAAACCTTTTTCTTTTGTAAATGGCCCAGTCTCGGATGTGTCTTTATCAACTGCATCAAAATGGACCAATACAGTAAATTGGTACCAGTAGAGTGGGGCACTGTTGTAGATACTCAAAAATATGGAAGTTACTTTGGAACTGGGTAACAGGCAGATGTTGTAAGAGTTTGGAGGGCTCAGAAGAAGACAGGAAATTGTGGGAAAGTTTGGAACTTCCTAGAGACTTGTTGAATGGCTTTGCCCAAAATGCTGATAGCAGTATAAGACAGTAAGTTCCAGGCTGAGTTGGTCTCAGATGGAGATGAGGAACTTCTTAGCAACTAGAGCAAAGGTGACTCTTGTTATGTTTTGGCAAAGAGATTGGTGGCATTTTTCCCCATCCTAGAGATTTGTGGAACTTTGAACCTGAGAGGTATGTAAGGTATCTGGTGGAAGACATTTCTAAGCAGCAAAGAATTCAAGAGGTGACTTGGGTGCTGTTAAAGGCATTCAGTTTTATAAAAGAAACAGAGCATAAAAGTTTGGAAAATCTGCAGCCTGGCAATGAGATAGAAAAAAAATCTCATTTTCTGAGGAGAAATTCAAGCCAGCTCCAGAAATTTGCATAAGTAATGAGGAGTTGAATGTTAATCCTCAAGACAATGGGGAAAATGTCTCCAGGGCTTGTCAGAGGTCTTTACAGCAGGCCCTCCCATCACAAGCCCAGAGACATAGGAGGAAAAGATGGTTTCATGGGCCGGGCCTGCTCTGTGCAGCCTAGGGACTTGGTATCCTGTGTTCTAGCCACTCCAGCCATGGCTAAAAGAGCCAAGATACAGCTCAGGCTGTTATTTTAGAGGGTAGAAGCCCTAAGTCTTGACAGCTTCCACGTGGTGTTGAGCCTGTGTGTGCATGGAAGTCAATAATGGAGGTTTGGGAACTTCTGCCTAGGGTTCAGAGAATGTATGGAAATGCCTGGATGCCCAGGCAGAAGTTTACTGCAGGGGTGGTGCCCTCATGGACAACTTCTGCTAGGGCAGTGCAGAAGTGAAATATGGGGTCAGAGCCCCCACACAGAGTCCCTACTGGGGCACTGCCTAGTGGAGCTGTGAGAAGGGGGCCATCGTCCTCCAGAACCCAGAGTGGTAGAACTACAGACAACTTGCCCCAAGCACCTACAAAAGCCACAGACACTCAATGCCAGCCCATGAAAGCAGCCAGGAGGGGGCTGTACCTTGCAAAGCCACAGGGACAGAGCTGCCCAAGACCATGGGAACCCACCTCTTGCATCAGCATGACCCAGATGTGAGACATGGTGTCAAAGGAGGTCATTTTGGAGTTTTAAGATTAGACTGCCCTGTTTGATTTTGGACTTGCTTGGGGCCTGTACCCCCTTTGTTTTGGCCAATTTCTCCCATTTGGAATGGTTGTATTTACCCAATGCCTGTGTCCCCATTGTTTCTAGGAAGTAACTAACTTCCTTTTGATTTTACAGTCTCATAAGCAGAAGGGACTTGCGTTGTTTTTGATGGGACATTGGACTGTGGACTTTTGAGTTAATGATGAAATGAGTTAAGACTTTGGGGGACTGTTCAGAAGGCATGATTGGTTTCGAAATGTGATTTGTGAAGGGCCAGGTGTGGAATGATATGGTTTGGCTATGCCCCTACCCAAATCTCATCTTGAATTCCCATGTGTTGTGGGAGGGAGGGACACAGTGGGAGGTAATTGAATCACTGGGGGCAGGTCTTTCCCATGCTGTTCTCGTGATAGTGAACAAGTCTCATGAGATCTGATGGTTATATAAAAACAGGAGTTTCCCTGAACAAGCTCTCTTCTCTTGTCTGCCACCATGTGAGACATGCCTCCACCTTCTACCATGATTGTGAGTCCTCCATCCCCACCCACGTGGAACTGTAAGTCCAATAAACTTCTTTCTTTTGTAAATTGCCTCATCTCAGTTATGTCCTTAGCAGCAGCATGAAAATGGACTAATACAATGATGATGATTATATTCTTGATAATAACAGTGAAGATGATGAAAACATAAAGATATCACCTTCATATGGGTTATGTACCTACTGTGTTATATTTTCATTGATATGTTTATGGCCCTGTTTATGTGAATAGACTAAAACTCATGGAATTTAGGAAACTGGTCTCATTTATTTTTGTATATCAAGCAGAGCTGTGCTTGCTGGACTGTTAAAAGAATAGGCTGTTGAGTTAAAAAGTTAAAATCTGCTTTGGACTTGGGGGGCTTAGGATGCCAGAGGGTATCCCTATAATTTATAAAGAAATTTCTGAAAATGTGAGCTTTGTGCTTATGAGAAAATCAGAGATTTAAATAATTGAAGTCACAATTGGAGAAAATCTCTGTGGTATAGGACTGATTAGAATACAAGGCAGAATTCAGTAATTATTTCAAGCACAGAGCTATGGAGCCTGAGGCAGAAAATATTAATTCTGACTGGGAAGACGGAGGAAGAGTTCACAGGGAAGGTGACACCAGACAAGCTTCTCCTTTAAATTTTGGAGTCTTTGGAAATGACTAGTAATTATATTCAAATTAATTTCCCAAAGAAAACAATTAAATTGGCTCTCCAAAGTTATTCTTCAGAGAAAAAAGAGGTGAGGCTATGCATTTTCCATTTAAGAATAGTTACTAACTGAATATAGGAGAACAATTATGAAGCTAGGTGGTTCTGTACAGTGAAATATGGGACCTTGAGCTCTGTATTTCAGTATTTTCCAGAATTTGGGTAAATTATCATGAATGTCAGAAGTTCTCATTAAAATGTAAATAATATGTTTAAGTGCCAAATTTGACCATAAAGGAATTCTTTGTGTTTTTCATTGAACTACATCACTAGATCTATTCTGGTCATGCTTTAATTATTTTTGGTTTTGTTATTTGCAATTTAATACTTGTAATATTCTTTTCTATGGTTTAAATTAAACAGTGACTATATGTCTTTGGTCTTTAATCTCTTCCTCAACTCATGCAAGTCTAGCTTCTACACTTATTATTCTACTTCAAGCATAATCACCAATAAACTCCTATTTATAATTCCAGTGAGTACGTTCTTACGAAATCAGCCCTAGAGCTTATTAGCGAAGTGCTTTTGACATGGTGGGTGTTCAACATATAATTATTGATTACGTGAGTCATGAATCAAATATCAAATTAGCTCTGTTCTAATCCTAGATCTATCTCTGACTAGTTATGTTGTTAAATGGGATATGTTACTCAGTCTTTCAATTTCAGTTTTTCGTCTCTTTACGTATTCTTTAAGCTTATGATTCAGCTGTGTATTGTGAGATGATAACTTGGAAAAAAATAAAATAACTTTGCACAAATTGTAAGCAGTAGGGAAGACTAGAAGAAGCAGGAATTTATTTAGAAACAACTGTTCCAAATAAATATACTGGATACACAGCAAAAAGACTAGGTCTGTGCCTCATCCTATGTAAAATGCCTCCATCCTAACAGACATTTATTGACTATCTTAGCCAGGTATTACAGTGATAAGGAATTTGTCACTTTACCTCAAACCACAAGGTCTTCAGAATCAAGAGCTAGTATTTTACTTTCTTGATTTAGCTAAACCATCCAGTGAAAATGTGCAGGGGAAGAGTGAATATATTTAGTTAATTTTATTTATTGAGAAGTATTTATTCTTGTTACCCTCCCTTCTGGGATATGTTACAGCAAGAACAGGTGTTTTTTTTAAACTAGTGAGTAATTACTGATCTTCTTATAGTCTTACAATTATTTAAATAAATGCTATCAATGAGAATAACCAATAATATGCTATTTCTGTTTATATAAAGAGGAAATTAACCCAGAATTTCTATCCAATGGCATCCATGCATGTGACTCCAGGATAATCTGTATATAAAATACTTGCAAATGTTTCCCTCAAGGTAGAGCTGGAGTTGATTTCTGTGTGATAACCCCAGCCAAGAAGCTCACAAACTTCTGGAATCATGTGAAACCGTGTATTAACATAGAAATGTTGATACTATAGCTATGTAGCAGATAGGAACAGTTTTTAAGAAGGCAAGGTCTTCCAAACATTATTTATGATATTATAATGCCTATAGAATAATAGTAAATGTTTTTCAATGTTTGGGACTATATTCAGTACATAAAATAATAGGTGTCTTTTTAAGCATTAATTTTGCTTAGATATCGTGTATGCTGGGTTTTATTTTCTTAGTCAACAATTAACAAGTTTTAAGGGCCAGGTGTGTTGGCTCACGCCTGTAATCCCAGCACTTTGGGAGGCCGAAGTGGGCAGATCACCTGAGGTCAGGAGTTCGAGACCAGCCTGGCCAACATGGCGAAACCCCGTCTCTATTAAAAAATACCAAAATTAACCAGGCGTGGTGACATGTGCCTGTAATGCCAGCTACTTGGGAGGCTGAGGCAGGAGAATCGCTTGAACCTGGGGGACGGAGGTTACAGTGGGCCGAGATCATGCCACTGCACTCCAGCCTGGGCAGCATAAGACTCCGTCACAAACAAACAAACAAACAAAGTTTTGAGAAGTAAAAGCTATTTACCTTACCTTTGTGTAATAATTCCTGAGATATAAAAGAAGCTGTAGTTGACATTTAAGATTGATTCTCCAGTATCTATCCTACTTCCAAATTGTTAGTTTAAGCCAAACATCATACCCCATTTTCTCTACCAAATGTTGGTTTAGAAAAGAGTATGTGTGGTAGTCCAGGCCTATGAGACATAAGCCAGAATCAACTGGTATCTTCTACAGTGTTTTCTTGTTCAGTAGAAGGAGAATTAGGAAGACACTGTCTCCTCTTTTTCCTCTTGGGGTGGGGACATGAAAATGCTGTAGCCGTCTTGTGACCATCACAGAGAGGCTAATGGCACAACTAGCAGATGGGGAGAACCTCTATCTTTAGTGGCATCATTGGATTGGAATGTACCTGGAGCAGATACTAACCCCTCAGATTTTTTTTTTTTTTTGAGGCAGAGTTTCGCTCTTGTTGCCCAGGTTGGAGTGCAGTGGTGCCATCTTGGGTTACCACAACCTCAGCCTCCCCAGTTCAAGTGATTCTCCTGCCTCAGCCTCCCAACTAACTGGGATTACAGATGTGAGCCACCATGCCCAGCTAATTTTGTATTTTTAGTGGAGATGTGGTTTCTTCATGTTGGTCAGGCTAGTCTTGAACTCCCGACCTCAGCTGATCCGCCTGCCTCAGCCTCCCAAAGTGCTGGGATTACAGGCATCAACCACCGCGGCCGGCCCAGATTCTTATAATGTGAAATAATTTCAGCTAGTCTGAATATGGTTTTGTCCTACCTGCAATTGAAAACCTCCTAATAAATGCAGAATAGATCATGAAACATTAAGGGCAAGATAGAATAGTCTAAAAGAACAAAATGAGACTACAGCAACGACAGAAATAGAATATTGAAGAGAGAAACACCTCTATAAGGGAAGTAGAAGGAGCTATCCAAGGGTTAAAGAAAAGTACCACAGGCAAAGAATTGAAAAGCCTTCACTGCTGAGCAGCCTCATGTGTTCTTTTGTTCTGATTCATGTACGTTAAGTCAAGGAATTGGGGAGAAGTATTAATCGAATTGATTGCATGTCGTCTTATTTTATTAACAACTGTGAAGACCAGCTAGAGCCATGGAAATTACTTTCTAATACTACCAATAATTTGAAAATTAACATGTAGAGTAAATAAGTCATCTGTAGCTATGCAGTACTGGTTATTGTTTCCAGTTTTCTTGTAGTTGTCATCTTGTAGTCCTATTTAAAACTAAAGCATTATAAAGCTGAGATTTATAATTCGCTGTTGCAGCTTTGTTACTATGTAACTGAAAGTAAATGTTCCTTTTCCCTCTGGTGAGATTAAGTTTTTAAAGGATTGAAAAACAAAAGTATCAAATGTGATTTCTGTGGTTATTTTTCTCCTTAAAAAGTAATTTTTGAAAAGATTAGATATGTCTCTTCCATTTTTGTCTTTAGTTTGTGAAATGATTTCAACTATGAGGAATTTAAAAAATAAATTAGGCTCACTTGTTTGGGAGTGGGACAAAATTATATAAAGAGAAAGGTTTGGGGACGTTTTGCCAGAAATATAACAAATTAAACATTTATTTTAATTAAGTTTAATCGTACAAAGTACAGATTAATACTTATTTTCAGATTTACTTCTTGATAGAAAGGAAACATGTTTCACGGGAAATTGAGATGAAAAGTGCAGAAGATAAAATCCTACCATTGTCAAATGAATAGATCCGGAAAGCAAATAAGCTTTTTGTAAGGTGATAGAAATTATAATGAATGAGCACTTTGAATTTTATTCCAAGTACATTTAAAATTCACTTGTTTAAAAAGAGGAATCTGGTAGGAACATTAATTGATTATGATGAGTGTGGATTGGAGAGATGAGGCTGAATGGGGAGGATGAGGGTTGTTGTTCTAGATGAGGGTTTAGACTAAGCTGTTGGCATGGCAACCAGATGGAAGGCAACAGCCTAGAGTTGAAGGATTGCCTGGGTGGACGGGCACTAGGATGGGTTAAGAGAGAAACAGGAACCCAGGAAACAGGCAGTCCAACAGGGGCATGTTTTTGGTGAAAACCACAGTTCACTCTTGGATAGCCAGACTGTAATGTAAAAATTGGACTGTCAAGTCCTGGTTTTCAAGCTGCAGGTCGAGTTCAGGGCTAGCAGTCAGAGGAGAGTGGTCAGAGAAATGGGGGAACCATCTGAGCTCTGAGGATAGCTCAAGCATTTAAATTCAGTTAAACAAATTTTACCCAGTGAATGCCTAGTTTATTTAAGGGATCTCCTAGGAAGGTGGCTACAAGTAGGGCCTGTGAAGCAGCCGAGACCTGGGCCTCCAGATCCTTTCTCTGACCCCCATCTCCTTCTCCTTTGATGACTCTACCACTGTTTGCCAAGAACTTCAGTGTTGTTAGGAGCACTTGGAACATTTATTCTTGTTGGAAACTTATAGTCAGTTTGCTTTTTTACTTCATTCCTTCCTTCCTTGTACCCTTTCTTCTTCCTCCCACCCTTCTTTTTCTTCCTCCTCCCTCTCCTGCTTTCTCTCACTCTTTATTTCTTCTTTCTGTTCCTTTACTGTGAACATTCTTTTCCCACTGCTTTGTTTTCTTGAAGGTATAACCCTCTAAGAAAACTAGCTTTATGTAGAGGCTTTAATTCCAAATTCATATTTTGTGTAGTTTTAAGGGTTACCCTCTTTCTTGAAAAAAAAAAACTGTTAGAATCAAGACTGTTGAATGATCAGAGTGGCCGATGGCCCAGGTTATCTGTGGGTTTTGGGCCTGCTTGGTCATAAGCTCTCCCATCATTCTTGGGGCTGGTGGTTTGTCTCCCTTTGTGCTAAAGCAAGCCAGGCATGCATTTGAGAGATATATGTTCTCATGCACTACTCCCTGTTTCCTCAGCATTGATAGATGTTTTATTAAGAGAGATTTTACATCGTGGGTCATATTCTGACAACAAAATTCCAGATTTTGCAAGTCGGTATTGGTATTAGGCCAATACCAACAGATTTTCCAACAATATATATTTTAGATGTTTTTATGGGTAGTGTGAAACATAGTAGAAGACAGCAATAAGGGCACACTATTAAACATTTTCTGTCTTAATCTGATCTTATTTGGGGGGCCTTGATTAAATTAGCATAAATCTGCCTTTTAAAATTTTGTCTTTGTTTTTCAAAATAATATCTTTTGTCAGTGCTTTGAATTTTGGCCATTCTGGTAGGTGTTTATCTCATTGTTGTTTTAACTTGGAATTTCTTAGTGACATATGATGTTTATGTTTACAGGCTTACTTGCCATCTGTGTGTCTTCTTGGTGAGCAATCAGTCAAGGATTTGGCCCATGTTTTAATTGGGTTATTTATTTTCTTATAGTTGAATTTTAAGTGTTATCTGTATATTTTGGATGAATATACCTTTATCCGATACATGTTTTGCAAATATTTTCTCCCAGTCTGTGGCTTGTATTCTCTTTCTCTTGACAATATCTTCAACAAAGCAGAAGCTTTTAATTTTAATGAAGTTCAACTTGTCAATTATTTCTTTTATGGATCACGTCTTTGGTGTTTTATCTAAAAAGCAATTGCCATATCCAAGGTCATCTAGAGTTTCTCCGTTGTTATCTTTTAGGAGTTACATAGTTTTATATTTTATAGTTAGATCTATGATCCATTTTGGATAAAATTTTATAAATGTTTTAAGATCTGTGTCTAGATTTTTTTTTCTTTTTTGCATGTGGATGTCTGGTTGTCCCAGCACCATTTGTTGAAGCGATATCTTTGTTCCATAGTATTGCATTTGTTCCTTTGTCAAAGATCAGTTGCTATACTTAGTTATTCAGTGCTTCTTTTAGGGCTCTTTTTTCTGTTCTTTTGATCAATTTATCTAGTTTTTCACCAACACCGCTCTGTCTTGATTAGAGTAGTTTTACAGTAAGCTTTGAAGTTGGGTAATGCCAGTCCTCCAGGTTTGTTCTTCTTCAACATCCAGTCGGCTATTCTGGGTCTTTTGCCTCTCTGTATAAATTATAGAATCAAGTTTGCCAGTATTATAAAATATCTTGCTGGGATTCTGATTGGCATTGCATTGAATCAATAGACCAAGTTGAGAAGAACTGACATCTTCACAATATTGAGTCTTCCTATCTAGGACCATGGAATGTCTCTCCATTTATAGTTCTTTGATTTCTTTCATTGGAGTTTTGAAGTTACCCTTGTGTAGATCTCGTACATTTTTTTAAGTCTTATTTCTAAGTCTGTCATTTTGTAGAGTGCTAATATAAATGGTATTGTGTTTTAAATTTTAATTTTTCCTTGTTCATTGCTGGTTTATAGGTAAGCAACTGACTTTTATATATTAATCTTATATCCTGAAACCTTGCTAAAATTCCAGAAGTTTTGTGTTGATTCTACTGGATTTTCTACATAGAAAGTCATGCCATCTACACAAAAATTAAGTTTTATTTCTCGCTTATCAATCTGTATGCCTTTTATTTCACTTTTTGTCTACCTGCATTAATGAGGGTTTCCAGTACCATGTTGAAAAAGAGTAGTAGGAGGGTAAATCCTTGTCTTGTTTCTGAACTTAGTGGTGAAGAAATTTGTCATCAAGCTTCTTTTTCAAGTTTACTGGGTTTGTGGAGTTTCCAGGTAGATAATTTAAGTGTGTTTTACATGCCTCCCTTATCTCAGTCCTCTCATTCTGACTCCTGGCTGCCGAACTTGATCTAGGAGAAAACTTGCAGACAAGAGATACTTTATTTGGAATGATACCATGGTAGAAGTAAAATTTTGAAATTTGAAGGACTCTCTCAATGCATCATGTAATCCTCTCTATACCCAAATGTCACTTCCATAAATGAAGATGAAATTAGCCCATTGAATATTTGATAACTCACACATTTTTGTCAGCACATATGTCGTATATTTTTGTAGAAATAACAGAAATATAAGTAGAGTGCTAAATTGTACATCAAAATATTCTGATTTTTTTCTCTCAATATGTTTTCTCACAGATCATATTTTTAATATTTAACATGTGGCCTGTTTGGTTAGTATATATATTTCTCTAGAAATAAACTGAATATTCAAATCTAAAGTTCTTAAAAATGCCTAATAAAATAAAATTTTTGTCTAAAAATGCATGGGGACTGCATGTGGCTTATAAATGTTATATTTACCTTAAAAAAAGCATTACGTAAATTTTAAAAATTATATTAGTCAACCAGAAAATATCTCATATCTGTGTAACCTTAATAAGGCATCTAGGGTAAATTGCAATTGTTCACATGTTTTTTTTGTTTTTTTTTTTTTTAATTCTGGGGTAAGGACACTGTTAGGGGAATATATATTATCTAACCTTAGAGAATTTCACAATATTTATACTTCAAGAAGAGCTGTGTCTGTTGCAAACTAATTTTTCTGCCATAAACAAAGAGGGAATTATTTCTGAGGACTTTAACTTATTTATTTTTCCAAAAGCTTGCCACATGGCTTCAAATGCATTCCACACAAACAATTATTGTGAGAAATGAGAAGTGACAATGCATTTAACTCCTTGCATCCTGTTTTTCAGCAGGCAGAAATTTGCATCTTAAATGAATAAAATGTGATGGAGTATGCCAAACTCTGCCATCATTTGGCCAAAATGATACCAAATGATTGTGATTTATTTACTTCACAATAGATAAAAATAAACTACCCTTAGTTAAAAGTTAGATGCCTAAAATGTACTATATTTTATGTTTATTAAGACAAAAGCTCAGTAAAAAGTCTCTGAACTTCTTAGGAGCATGAGCTATGAAATTAAGACTCTGCTGACTTCTGGCTTCGTTGTTGAATGGGATTGTAGGATATTATACCCCTGGTAATCTATCTTTTACTATCAAGAGCTTAGATAACTAATGACTGCTTTCTCTTTCTCTTTCTCTCTCTCTGTCTCTTTCTCGCTCTCTCTCATCTAGATTGCCAGAAAGCTGAGCTTTTTTTTTGTGCTTACTTGCAACAACCATTTGTAGGCTAGTCCTGCTAGTGTAATTTTTTTTCTTCATTAGCTAAGATTTGAAAGAATTTATAGTATGAACAGAGGGGTACTATTCCCAGGAGGGGAGAACATCGTAAGCAATTATGCAAACACATTAAATAAAGGAAAAGAGCTGTATGTTAAGAAATTTGCAAAGAGTTTCTGAAACCTTGAAAAAATCATTTTAAAGCTCTGACCTTCCGCTTCTCTGTAAAATGGGCATCACGATACTCGCAAAAAGCTGCTATGAGAATTAGAGTAGACAGTGCATGTGAAGGTGTTTAGCACATGAGATAGACTTAGTAAATATTAATGACATTTCATCTGCCTTTGGGTATTTTTTGAGTTCCTATTCACATATCAAATATTTTAATACTCTTATATCAAAGAGTATGGTTAAACCCAGATTGTTTTCTACTAGCTGTATGAGATAGCAGGCGTTCACAGCCTCTTGAAGCTTCAGTTCCTTTACGCTGAAATGAGGAAAAGCAGTGCATGAATCTTGCAGGACTTCTGGGAAGATTAATGCAGGGCCCCCTAACCCTGGGCCACAGATAGGTACTGGTCTGCTATGGCCTATTAGGAACCAGGCCGCACAGCGGGAGGTGAGTGGCAGTCCAGCGAGCGAAACGTCTGTATTTATAGCTGCTCCCTGTTGCTCGCTTTACTGCCTGAGCTCTGCCTCCTGTCAGATCAACGGTGGCATTAGATTCTCATAGAAGCACAAACCCTATTGTGAACTGCACGTGCAAAGGATCTAGGTTGCACACTCCTTATGTGAATCTAATGACTGGTGATCTGTCACTGTCTCTCCCATCACCCTAAGATGTGACAATCTAGTTGCAGGAAAACAGGGTCAGGGCTCCCACTGATTCTACACCATGATGAGTTGTATAATTTTTTCCTTCTATGTTATAATACAATAATAATAGAAATAAAGTACACAATAAATGTAATGTACTTGAATCATCCTGAAACCACCATCCTCCTGCCCGGTCCATAGAAAAATTGTCTTCCATGAAATCGATCCCTGGTGCCCAAAAGTTTGGAGGCCACTGGATTAAAGGAGACAATGTATGTAAATTTTGGCTTATAATAAGTTCTTGGAAAGTGCTAGCTGTGTCTTATCACTGATTATAGTATCCCAATCAAACCTTGACACTTGGGTTAGGATTATTTATTTCCCTCAATTTATAAATGTGAAAGCGGAGGTACAGAGAGGTTAAACAGCTTGCCCAAATTCACACAGCAGATATGTGACAAAGCAAAAGTTCAAGCTGCCCGACTTCTCAAACCTCACTTTCCCATTTATTTTACATC